>NC_000004.12:85739562-85891077 GCF_000001405.40 Homo sapiens
TTCAACAGCTTCCCATTACACTCTCCATATCGTGAAAACTCCACGTTCAATCTTTTTTTTTTTTTTTTTTTTTTTTTTTTTTGAGATGGAGTCTCGCTCTGTCGCCCAGGCTGGAGTGCAGTGGCGCGATCTCGGCTCACTGCAAGCTCCGCCTCCCGGGTTCACGCCATTCTCCTGCCTCAGCCTCCCGAGTAGCTGGGACTACAGGCGCCCGCTACCACGCCCGGCTAATTTTTTGTATTTTTAGTAGAGACGGGGTTTCACCGTGTTAGCCAGAATGGTCTCGATCTCCTGACCTCGTGATCCGCCCACCTCGGCCTCCCAAAGTGCTGGGATTACAGGCGTGAGCCACCGCGCCCGGCCCACGTTCAATCTTATAGCCTACAGGATCCCATCCCCTATCGCCCCTTGCTCCCATGCTCCAGCCACACAGACTTGCCACATAGTTCACGAATGTCCACAGATTTTTCAGATCGATGGCCTTTCACACATGCTGGATCCCCTCCTTACAGAGTACATGCCTTTGGGTTTTGTTTTGTTTGTTTGTTTGGCTATTTCTTATCATTCAAATCTCTATTTAAATGCTTTCTTCTCAGAGGAGAACTTCTATTGAAAGTACCTACCTCCGATCTGGGATATTCTTTTTGTTGTTGTTGTTGGGGTTTTTTTTTTTTTTAGACGGAGTGTTCCTCTGTCGTCCAGGCTGCAGTGCTGGAGTGCGGTGATCTCGGCTCACTGCAACCTCCCACTCCTGGGTTCAGGCGATTCTCCTGCCTTAGCCTCCTGAGTAGCTGGGATTATAGGTGCCCACCTCCATGCCCTGCTAATTTTTGTATTTTTGGTAGGGACAGGGTTTCACCATGTTGGCCAGGCTGCTCTCGAACTCCTGACCTCAAGTCATCTGCCTGCCTCGGCCTTATATAGGGGTGAGTCACCCCACCCAGCCGATATTCTTTATTAGTCATCTTTTTCATATCTATTACAGAGTTTTCTATTCTGAATTTAATAGTTTGTTTAGCTATCTTTTACCTGTTTTATTTACTGTCATATACTGTGTGCTTGCTTGTGGTTGGCACTCAATAAAAATTGATAAATATGAGGACTATTATATTTCTTATCATCATCTCTCTTCTCGTCCTTCTTTCCTTCGTGTGAGTGGAAGATGATGTCATTCTTTGCATATTTTTGTAACCCATGGCTTATTTTACCATGAAACAAGCTCTTCCTTGCAATCATCCTCACTTCAGAGAATATTTAACAATATACTGTTGTCTTATAGATGCAGCTCAGTAGTCCTACATTATCCCAGAAACACAGATTCCCTATGCATAAAAAAGCAGTAATGAAAGCTAACTTTTTTGAGTATTTATTCTGTTCACTATTGTATTCTTTAATTTAACAGTGCTTGTATTCTTTAATTTAATTTAACAATGCTATAATTTAAGGACATTATTCTCTTCATTTTACAAAGAAATTGAAGCTTCAAATTAAAGTAACTTGCCCTAGGTCACCAGCCAGTGAAATAGCAAATGCAGGGTCCCTTTCACATAACCATTTTGCTGTTCTTTCAGAAAAATCTAAACAAACCAAGACATTCACAGGAGGTTTTCCTTCCTTCGGCACCAGAGAGGTGGTTATTTGTTTCCCACTAGGCACAAGAGAGAAGAAAAACACAACAGAAAACAATATTAAGATCATACTAGAGATGGGGCTAGAATGGCTTTTGCTGTTAGGAAAAATGGGAACATCTTAGAGACTCTATGGTGCTATCTTACTAAATTACCCAGAAGTAAAGAAAAGGGAGGGTTTTAAAATAAATAAATACATAAACAGGGTTTTTGTTTTCATTTTCAGAAATATCTCTAAAAGCAAATAGTTTTACAGCGATATCATTATATGTGTTAAACTTCCAGCTCTCTGAGTATGACTTCTGCATTTTTATTTTTATTTTTAGATTCAGTTTTGTTCACTTGGGCATGTGTATGGCTTGGAGACAGGCAGGAATGCCAAAAAGCTGGTAGATGATGGCAACTGTGATGAGCAGAAGAACTCACTGCCTCAGTTACCTGGATGTGGGCCATTTTCTTTCCCTGGAGTTGGAGGGCGGGCAACAATGTTGAAACTGGCTGGAAGTTGAGAGAGAAACTGAATTTGTTTCAGGGCCTAGTGATATTTTAGTGCATAATTTTATAAAATAACAGCTCCATTCCATGAATATAGGAGAGGAAAAAGATTATTGAGAAAATAATTTTTTTACAGGCACTGGTACTTTTTTTTCATGTTTTGTGTTGTAGTTGCATTTTACTAGAGCAGCTGACACCATTCTATGTGGTCTGATTATGTAGTTCAAAGACCAAAACCAAATAAAAAGATCTACTCTTTAAAAACTCTCTTTTCCAATGAGAGGATTATGGAAAAAGTGACAGTGATTGAAAGTCTGTGTTCTATTTGCCAGAGTGGGGGAGGGAGTGGTAAGGCAGGTTGACTGGGATAGACCAGTCACGAAGGAGCTGGAACATTCACCCAGGCCAATTGCCATGTGACTTGTAGAAGGTCTGTGGGGAAGACACCATCTGCCACTGTTTGGCAGGATTTGGCCACCATGGCACAGAGTGGGCAATTGTCCTCAACCTTGGAGGCAGAAGCTGGCAGCTGGCCAAAAGTCTGCTTTCTCCCAGAAGAGATAGGCAGTCACTGAGCCGAGATACTGATGATGTCTCTCTCTTATCGTGCAACATGGAGAGCGGGAGAAAATGAGGGAGGACAGAAGAGAGGAGAAGGAGGAGGAAAATAAGAAAAGGAATACTAATTAACTCAGCCTGTCTATCCAGCTAAGCTTGAGCTTGATTTTGCTCTCTAGTTGAATGGAACATGCAACCTGAATTTCTGAATAACAGAATTACCAAATTACTGTTTAAGTGTTTGAGAAAAAAAGGTGAAAAGTGTGTGTACTATATGTATAGACGTATAGATTGACATATAGTGAATTGGTTAATTGAATGTCTGCATCAGATAAGAAGGTGTTAGGTCAATTTCCACAATAATGCCATTAAAATCGGTTCTTTGATTAAATCCAATTAACAGATGTGGAAACTGAGGTTTGTGACAAGGTTCAATCCCTGATTTCTGTGACTCCAAAGTATGTGCTGTTATTTAATGTTTATGTATTCTCTATTATGAATTGTTTTCAAGTTTTTTAAAATATCACTAGCTAGCCTGTACGTTTCTTAGGAGGCAAAAACAATTGCCTTAAATTTTGTTATATTTTAGTGCCATTTTGCACATAGGTTATAAGCAACAGATAATTTCTGTAATCTTTAGAATATCGATTAAACTTGTTAAAATGTAGATATTTTGAAATCTCACACAGGACACCTAAATTATGTAAAATGTTATAAACTTTATGATTTACAGGGGCCCTGGAGATGGAAGTTCTGAAAAAATGTTGCCTTTATTCAGTATTAGTGCATTATCAGGGACTCCAGATCTCAGTTAAAATGAGAGAATCTGAATCTCTAGGCAATGATGAGTGTTTCTGAAATTCAGATTCACCAGAAAGAAATTGAAAGCAAAGAGAAGACAGTGTTGTCAAATTATCATATAATTCAGCTAAAAAAAAAATCATGGTACTTAAGTGGGAGCTAGAGCACATCACTGCCTTTAAGAAGATATTTAGGGGAATAAAAGAGGTCTGGGACCTCGGAGGTGAAACTGAGAGAAAGACAAAGGGACTTCAAATCAAGCATTTGAAAGAGCCAATGAGGGGCCAGATGTGGTGACTCACTCCTGTAATCCCAGCACTTTAAGACGCCAAGGCGGGATCCCATCTCAAAAAAAAAAAAAAAAAAAAAAAAAAAAAAAAAAAAAAAAAGGCTGGGCATGTTAGTCCCAGCTGTTTGGGAGGGTGAGGCAGGAGGATCACTTGAGCCCAGAAGGCTGAGTCAGCAGTGAGCCATGATTGCACCACTGTACTCTAGCCTACGTGACAGGGCGAGATCCTGTCTCAAAAACAAAACAAAACAAAAACAGAAAAGAAAGAGCCAATGAAACAAAACCCACAGAGAAGAGAAGCAGAACTGTTGTACCAAAGTAACAGTTCTCAAATCTTTATTTTCTTTCTTTTGTGATAAGACACACAGGCCAAATAAGACTGACTGCAAGTTAGCACAAGAGTGCAACGACTCTATGTTATCCTGGCTCCCTCATTCAAGGAAACACGCCAAAACTTAAGTAAAAATAATCTTAAAACAACCTTAATTATAAATAAGCAAATCTCTTACAAATGGCACTACTTTATCATTAATTAGCAACTACTAAGTTGTAGCATATAACACAGAAGTATGGTATCAAGACTGAAAACTAATTGATTATTTAATTCCTAGCATCTTTTCAAGTTCTCAAATCCCAAGATTTGCCTATGGTTGCCACCAAGAGCTATGGAATTATTGTTTGGTAGGTGATTTTCATCCTCCATATTAAAAACAAAAACAAAAACAAAACCATTCTTTTTAAGGAATTCATCCATTTGTAGATGCATCTGTTTCCAGTGGTTCCAGTGTGTTTGTTTTGATTATCACATATGAATTCAGCTTTGTCCAAATATTTATAGAAAAACATAGAAGCCATGTTCTACTTGAAAAGTGCTTTTCATTTTGTAAGACCCTTGAGTACTTTACTTGTAATACCACAATTCAAACATATTTGGATTAAGCTTCAATCCTGGAGAGGCAAGGAGTCTGGCTTATGTTCCTTGGAATGGTTATTTGCTTGATTTTGAATCCCATAATCCCTGAATCTATGAATTTTTAGGATTCTGTTTTTAATCTCAGTCACATACTCACTCTATATGTGTGAGAAAGATATAAGGCCCAAGTCACAAAATAAATGAATAGAATTTCTTAAATGAGAGCAAAAAATTAGTACTCTTGGAGCACAAATTCAAGGAGAATGGATCTTTAGCATATTGGTTGTTAAATGCTACCCCAGTGTTTAAGGAGAGAGAAAAGACACACAGAGAGATAAAGAGAGGTTGAGCTGGGAAGCAGATGACTGAGGTCTCTCCTAAACCCTCCATCCTCCACCCTCCACGCGTTAGAGGCAAACCAAGAAGTTACTTGTAGCTGTGACATTCCTGACTGACAGGACTCCAGAACAACTTGTAACAAAAGAGACTTGAATCATCTTTCATATTGGTTTGGGATATTTTTTCATTATGTATTGCTGCTTTTTAAAATGGTTATTTAGTCTTTTAAAAATATATCTTTCCCCATGCATGCCATTTGTTTGTTAAGTCCTTATTTCAGAGAATTCTTAAAGGTAGTCCAATCATTAGAGGGAATTAGCCAGGCGGTACAGAATATCATATGCCAGCCTCCACTAAACAGCTAGACAAGTCTAAATGTGCCCTCCATTTTCAGAAGCCTTCTTTAATCCAGTCTCAATGCTCTCCACTATTAATTCCAAACAATGTTTAAATATGAGTGTGAGGTTAAAGCAAGGTGCTTTCATCCTTAAAGTGGTTGTCATTGTCAGATATGAGTAAATTTGTGCCCAGGAAAACGTGAAAAGGAGAGAAGCTTATAAATTTAACCAGCGGCCGGGAATGGTGACTCATGCCTATAATCCCAGTACTTCAAGAGGCCGTGGCAGGAGAAACACTTAAGACCAGGAATTTGAGACAAGCCTGGGCAAGATGGCGAGAGACCCCAGTAACTACTAATATATACCGTAGTATATATATAATATATAGTAGTATATGTATATATACATATATACATATATATGTATTATAGAGTATATGTATTATATTGTATACATACATGTGCATATATAATATATATAGTAGTATATATACATATATATAATATATATATACACATATGCTGGGCATGGTGCTGTGCACCTGTGGTTCTCAGTTACTCAGGAGTCTGAGGCAAGAGGATCCCTTCACTCCAGGAGTTCAAGGCTTCAATGAGCTGTGCTTACACAACTGTACTCCACCCTGAGTGACAGAGTGACACCTTATCTCTTAAAAAAAAAAAACTATAAGAAAATAAAATCAACAAGTACATCCTGTGTACCTACTTGCATACTACACAGTATGAAAGACATAAAAAGTGAATAAAACATAGTCCTTGAACTTGTGAATAATCTCATAATAATCTAATGGGCTACAGATTACCAAACTAAGTGTAATACATAGAAGAATGTTCTTCATGCTAAATAAAGTCCTGGAGAAGTTTGTTGGAGGGAAAATTTCTATTACGTGGCAAGAATCTATAAGTTTCCAAGTTCTGCAGATTATTCTAATGCCTAGCCTGGCTCTGCAGCATGATGCTAGGTACTATGATTCCAAAACCCAGTGCCTTCCCCTGTAGCCTGACAGTCCAGTGGACTAAGAAAATAGGCATGCCAGCAATTGAACACATTTACTGTTAAAGGCAATTTGATGTAAGTTAAAGTCAAGTCGGGGTAGGTTTTTATTTGTTTTGTTTTGTTCTCATATAATTCTATAGATTTCCTAGGAGTCGTGAAGGAGGAAGTAGTGAACACAGTAATATAGATACCTGCTTTTTTCACTGTGTACTTTTCCCAAGTGGGAAAGAAAGGGCAAGCTAGGGAATTGGGGCTAAATTCCTCCTTAGCGATATGATGCCCAGTTTCCAGGAATGGATAGGCAGGGCTGGGAATCTGCTTCCTTGTTAAGAATCATTTAGTGTTGCAAATATTAAAATTGTGCTATGCAGCCCTCCTTCTTTTGAGTATCTGACTGATTCTTCATGACTTCTTCATTTTCTATTTTTCTACAAACTTATCCATCCTGTAAGCCCAGCTCCTCTACCAGCAAACCTCAAAATAACCAACTCCAAAATACTTAATTTCAAGAGAAGCATTTTTTCTTATACTAGTTCTTGTGTTTGTTGTATTTCCTTTGTATGATTTCATTTTTTTTTAACATTCATGTCATACCCTAACCTCTATTGTGATGTCCTTGGAGGCAGGGGCTATATTTTGTGCCTGCATGTATCTTTTAACCACACGCCTGAACAGGAGAGGCACTCAGGTTGTTTGATTGGCTTGTTTGTTTTGTTGTGTTTTGTTTTTTTTAGATGGAGTCTCACACTGTCACCCAGGCTGGAGTGCAGTTGTGCGATCTCGGCTCACTACAACCTTCACCTCCCAGGTTCAAGTGATTCTTCTTGCCTCAGCCTCCCAAGTAGCTGGGATTACAGGTGCCTGCCACCATGCCTGGCTAATTTTTTTTGTATTTTTAGTAGAGACGGGGTTTCACTATGTTGGGCAGGATGGTCTCGATCTCCTGACCTCGTGATCTGCCCGCCTCAGCCTCCCAAAGTGCTGGGATTTCAGGAGTGAGCCACCGCACCCAGCCTGATTGGCCTGTTTTAATGGGAAACCATTAATACAGGACTTCAGGGATCTTATTTGTATATAACTAAACCATGGCTGGGACATCACTGCCAGTCAGTACAAATGCATATGAGAGTAGCTGCTTCTTTCTTTTAAAACCATTATAAACAGCACTAGAAACATTTTCTCCTACTTTTCAGGAAATGCCTGGAGCAACATGAGCAAAGCTAACTTTTAAAATAAGCTCTTTCATTTTTTGCTTTTTAAATCTCCTATCATCAGTTTACGTTTCACTTATGTTTTAAAATGTGATCATATTAAAATATCTTTAGAGTAGAAAGTATCTTGTATAGCTTTTGAAAAAAATCCTTTTTTGGGAGGTAATCTTGTTAGATATCTTTTGTATTTTATTTAGCAAAAAAAAGCACTAAGCACAAATAAAAACAAAATTGAACCGCCTACAATATGGCATTAAAATAGCTGAAAATTGAGGCCGGGGGCGGTGGCTCACACCTGTAATCCCAGCACTTTGGGAGGCCGAGGTGGGCGGATCACGAGGTCAGGAGATCGAGACCATCCTGGCTAACGCGGTGAAACCCCGTCTCTACTAAAAATACAAAAAATTAGCCGGGCGTAGTGGCGGGCGCCTGTAGTCCCAGCTACTCGGGAGGCTGAGGCAGGAGAATGGCGTGAACCCGGGAAGCGGAGCTTGCAGTGAGCCGAGATTGTGCCACTGCACTCCAGCCTGGGCTACAGAGCTAGACTCTGTCTAAAACAAAAACAAACAAACAAACAAACAAGCAAAAGCTGAAAATTGAATATCTGCTCTTTACATTTAGATTCTGAAATAGAATAATTTGTAATTTTTTAAAATATATTTTAAAATCATTAAGGACAGAACCTAAATCATCAGGACAGAACATTTTATAAAAATGGTGCTGTGAATAAGTAAAGAAGATTTGGAGGGGACAATGTTTTAAAATTTTGTGAGTGACTTTAAAAATAAGAGCGACAAACCAGGTATCCTTTAAAACCAATTAGACTTTTAACCTAGCAGCTTATATCTGTTCATGCCTAGATTGTTTGGCTGTGTGGAAGTAGTTTCTTAGTTGACAGATACAAAATACACAGCAATACTGCCCTCTACAGGTTCCCTGTAAGGCAGGCACTTGTCTTGCAAGTTTTTAAAAGAACCCTAACCTAGAGGAAAGACTTCAAGTGCTTTTGGCTTTGATGTCTTTAACACCAGTGAGCAACCTGGCCATCCCCTACCTCTATGCATGTTGACCACCTACTCCAAACAAATTACACAATCCTCCTTGTTTCTCCGAGCATATGGTATTAATAGCTCTTAAAAGATTTTTACTCTGAGGTCCAGTAGAAATCCGTAACTCCCTTTCTCATACATATGCCATGCTGGGGTTAAGAAAATATTCTGATAGGCCAGAAAGATAGTTAAATATACAAAATCTGGTGAATTTGTTCAAGATTGAAAGCAGTGATACTGCTTTATAGTCACATCTTTTATTTGTAGTACAGAAAGTAATTGTAGATTAAACTCAGTTGTTCCTGATAACAAAAACTTAAACTTAGAAAGAATATATGATCCAGACAAAATTAACAGCCAAGTATTTGGACGTTTAAATAAAATGGGAGTATTTTTAAATTGTGGATATATGAGAGACACAGTAAGAAACTGATATATGATGCAATATATGCAAACTTTGAAAAAAGATTTACATAAAAATAAAAATGCCAAGAGAAAGAAATATGTTTTATCTCCCAAGTATGATGCAGAAAGACAGTATTTCCTGTGCATAAGAGCAAAATTAGAATGGGTTCAAGTCTCAGTGTTGTTCTATACTGTGGAACTTTGGCAGGTACTCAAAGAAAACTTGCCACAAAGCCTCAGGATCAGCCTGAACACTTTACTTGACAGTCTCTGACACAGTGTTTCTCTCCGGCTCTTGTCCTCATGTATCCTGGCACATCTGCATCATTCCTGTTTCTTGTCAGGCTGTCTCTCCCTCAACGTGGCAGAATACGGTCACCAACAACTCTAAAGATGTTACACCTCTAGTCATACAGGCATACCGGATGGCTTTTTCTTAGCTCTTACCCCAAATTTCTGGGAACAGGACTCCAGCCCAACATGAAATTGAGCATGAAGTGCTCTATTGTGACTAATCAGCTATGGCATCAGGATAGGGACTTGCAGAAGACACACAAATCTAATATGTTGTCTTTTTCTCATTTGCCGAAGGTAGATTCTAGGAATTCCTTCAACTCTTGCTCTACAAGCAGTCTCCAGTTTACTAAGCTTTACATTCAAATAGTTGCTTCTTAGTTGTTGATTGGAATTCAGAAAACATTTCCTGTGCCAACTATGTTATTCCATATTGTTATGTCCTTAGAAGAGTCTCACTCCATTGCGAACAAACAAAAATTTTAAAAAGCTAGACTTCTATATGTCTGAAAAATTATTACCAGTTGATATAGGAGTCATAGAAACCACCCACCAAAGATTTTTCAGGACTGCTCTATTCTCAGACAATCTTGTCGGATTGTCAAACTAGGCATGCCTCTTTATTGTTTGAAAACTACAACCCCCACAGATACAGTTTTTTGTTATTGTTGTTGTTGTTTGTTTTGTTTTTTGAGATGGAGTTTCACTCTTGTTGCCCAGGCTGGAGTGCAGTGGTGCAGTCTTGGCCCACTGCAACCTCCCAGGTTCAAGTGATTCTCCTGCCTCAGCCCCCTGAGTAGCTGGGATTACAGGCACCTGCCACCACGCCTGGCTAATTTTTTGTATTTTTAGTAGGGACAGGATTTCCCCATGTTGGTCAGGCTGGTCTTGAACTCCTGACCTCAGGTGATTCACCCACCTCAGCCTCCCAAAGTGCTGGGATTACAGGCGTGAGCCACCGTGCCTGGCCTCCACAAATATAGTTTTAACCATAGGTTGTAGTGTTAGTTTTAAAGAACAGTGAGTTCAGAGTTTCCTCTCTGTGGTCTCAGCAGCAGCAGCAGCAGCGGCAGCAGCAGCAACCCTCTCTCAGTCATGCATCCATCCATGACTGCATGCAGACAGACATCCATCCACCTGCCCCTCACGTACTGTGCCTGGCACTGTTCTAGACTCCAGGGAGACACTATTAAACATGATGAAATGTCAGCTGTTCTGGAACTTGTTTTTTGGTAGGAGAAAATTTAAAAATAAGCAAATATATAAATAATCGTCAGTTAATGTATAAGTGTCAGTTAGTGATAAGTGCTATGTTTTTCTTTAAGTAAAATAAATCAGGGAGTTGTGATATGGAGTGATTTGGGAGTCTATTTGGATAGTGAGATCAGAGATTTCTAAATATCTATTCAGCAGCTATGGTTCTATAGCCAGGACAAGGGGCTCCAGCAGGGAGCATTAGGAACCCAGGAGACTGGGAGGGTCAAGATGACTTGTTATCTTGCCCCATGACAGATACTTCTTAATCCCAGAGTGGCTCCATCTCACCCTTTTTCTAGAGCCCAGGGGATTAACATGACTCTTTTCATTCCTTTTTTTTTTTTTTTTTTTTTTTTTTTTTTGAGACAGTCTTGCTCTGTTACCCAGGCTGGAGTGCAATGGCACAATCTCAGCTCACTGCAACCTCTGCCTCCCCGGCTCAAGCAATTCTCTTGCCTCAGCTTCCCGAGTAGCTGGGATTACAGGTACGCACCACCTCGCCCAGCTAATGTTTGGATTTTTTGTAGAGACGGCATTTCACCATGTTGCCCAGGCTGGTCTTGAATTCCTGACCCATCAGGTGATCCACCCACCTCAGCCTCCCAAAGTGCGGGGATTACAGATGTGAGCCACTAGGCCTGGCACCATTCATTCCTTTCTATCTTTAGTCATTGTTTCTTCCACTAAAAAATGTTCCTCTTCCCTGTTTCACTGCGGGGCAGAAGTCTCAGAGATCTCTCTTCTCTTCTACACAGTTTTGTTGCAGGTATCAAAGAGTGTTTTCTTTGCCTTTCATAATAATTTTTAGAATACTACACAAAGAATAAAAGAAAAAATTAAATGCCACAAAAGAATACACATAAAAATAAGTTTTTCCTGAGTTACAGCCTTCAAATCATCAATCTCTCTGCCCAGATTTATAGACATATATGTGTGTGCACATTATTTATGTGTTTATTTATAAATCAATATGATTCACATATAAGCATTCACTTGTCAATTTATAGAATATATTGTTCTTGTTATGTATCTTGTTTTTCATTTAATTGATTTTAGATATCTTTTTATATCAGCAAATATAAATTTACTTATTCTTTTTAATAGCTGCATAGTATTCCATTGCATGGGTGCAGAATATTTAGATTTTTTTAATCCAGCTCTTAATAGGTATTTAGGCATTATGCAGTCTTTGTTGTTAGAAAAAAACCTGCAATATCTTATAAATGTATGTTGACATGCTAGCTGACTCAAATATTATGAGTGTGTGTATTAAATTTATATATTAGGATGGCCATAAGAAATTCTGGGGTTTATAGGCCAAAATCAGTCAAAAATTGGCAATGTTATATGGTTTAACCTAAGATACATTGCCAAATGTTTTTCCAAAGCTCTCAGCCCAATTTTGTTTGTTTGTTTGTTTTTAATTTCTAACAGCTGTTGAAACAGACAAGTAAATGTCTTGGATGCTAAGCTCTGCTGGATAAAATGAGAAAACAGTGTGGATTGTAAACACTACAAAAGCATGGTTTCCTGTTAACTAGATCCACATTTCCCTTCAGGATTGTTCCCAGGAAACTGCCTTCCCAATCCCTCAAGTTTGGATGAAAGCACCATTATAGGAATTAGGTAGTTGAAAAGGGGAGAGGAAGAAATATGGACCTGGACTCCCAGTGGGCTCTAGAATGACATTAGGTAAATCATTTAACCTCTCCAGTTTGATTCAAATAATGAATACAGATACTACCTTAAAAAATACATGAGACAATGCCTATGGCACTGCCTAGCACAGTATTAAGCACTGAATTCTAGCTTGAATAAATCAAACTTCCCTCCCTCTCCCTTCCTCCCTTGCTGCTGTGCTCTGAATATTCAAACTATGGAGATGTGGCAAGGAAGAGTGTGCCACTCCTCGCCACATAGCCATACAAGCATTAACATGCATCTGGAACCATTTCTGCCCTGAAGATAGAAGCACTGAGCCACTTCAGTCATCTAACAGGTGCTCACTCTGCCTTACAGGTGAGTGGTATGGGGAGTGTCCTCAAAGTCTGGCATCTGGATAAACTGTAATTCAGGCCCATTCGGTGTGTGCAGTTACTGGGGAGCCCAGTGAATAAGTACAGTTTGTCTCAGTGTTACCATCTGCCATTTGCAAAACATTCTGTGCCCACCAGGAAGCATCCCTTCCCTTTTTCAAAATCTTCACTCAGAACATGTCACCAGAGAGAACCCCACAACTCCATGAAGCACACATTCTTGCATCAGTGTGAGTTATCTTTGCTGAATGCCTTTGTGGTTATTTTCTTGTTACATTAAAAAAAAAAACTCAAATACTGTTCCATATTCTGACGTGGGTCTTATTAAAATGTTAATCAATCGGTATTAAATATTAAGGCACAGCACTTTTTTTACAGATGAGAAAAGTGACAATGTGCTTACATGTTTTGGAATAGTGAAGGGAGCACCACAGGAGCTGGAAAGAGACAGGCTTGGGTTTAAAACCTGACACTGGTACTTGTACCATCATTTCTGTCAGCAAATTGCTTCACTTCACTGAGCATCAGTTTTCCTCTCTGTAAAATTGCACTAATAACACTCATTAAAAATACTAGGTTGTATTTCTTGTGTGTTACGAGAGAAGACAGATGTAACGTGCCTAACACCTTGCTTGGCACAAAGGAGCCCTAAATAAATGTTAACATTGATTTATGATTCTCTATATTAATCTGGCACTAGAGATACTTACTTCTGAACATTACCAGAATTTCATTATTGTAGAGGATTTATATAGCCAGGGATAAGGCAGTGAATATTTTCACAGCACTGATTAAAATATTCTTTTCAGGAGTAGGAACTGAACTTTTTTTCAGTTATCTGGTTGATGTTTAATTTGGGAAAAGGTTTTCGATGGATATAAGAGGATGTGAGAGTGAAGAGATAAGATATCTTCTGACACCTTCTTGTGACTGGTGTAAAAGAAAAGAAAGAATGTGTCTTTTTGAAGCTATTGTTATACTGATTAGAAAGCCCATTCGAGAATGAAAAATACAGATTTAAATTGTATAGAGATGTTCTAATGGTAGGAACTTTGTAAGTGTATTTTTTTCTTTTCTTCTATTTTTCTTCTTTTTCTGGGTTATGGGCATAGTAGACTTGGTACCATTAGAAATGTTACTCCTTCCTTAGGACTTAAGCCTATAAAGAGGAGGAAACTCAAGTACATATATTTATAATTTTCAGACAGTTAGGTAGTCATTCTGTAGGACCTTCATTTCAAAGCCTCACGTACACATCAAACTATAATAAGACCTGCCTTTACTCTGTTTGCTAAAAAGTCTGTCTCTTAATGTCAGGGTATCATCCCAGCCTTTGAACTGGCACATGCTTCACAGAGTAATATTTGGAAGTCAACATTTCAGTAGAGCAATTTATGCGCCCCACATATGAGTCTTTACGCACTGGTTAATGGCTTCCTCAAATCCTTGTCTGTTAAATTGGTTTTGAAAAGAGGAATGCTCCCTTTTCTGGCCTATTTACAGATCAGCCGTCATTCTTCTGTATAGCAATAGTTTTTTCTAGAATTGTGCTTATTAAGCAATGTCTTTCATTGAATTTTTTAATTGATATATCATAATTGTGCATATTTTGGGGGTGCATGGGATATTTCAATACCTATATACAATGTGTTATGATCAAATCAGGGAAATCAGGAGAGCCATCATTTCCAACATTTATCTTTTCTTTGTGTTGGAAACATTACAATTATTCTGTTCTAGCTATTTTGTAATATACAATAATATACAATAAAATGTTGTTAACTATAATTTTTCTATTGCCCTCTATTGAATACTAGAACTTATTTTTTCTATCTAACTCTGTTTTGGACCCCTTAACCAATTTCTCTTCATCTTCCTCTCCCCACTTTCCTTCCTGGCCTCTGGTAACCACCCAGCCTCTGGGAACCTCCTGATCTCTGGTAAAAACATCCACTTCTTTGGCTTCCACATATGAGTGAAAACAAGTGGTATTTGTCTTTCTGTGCCTGGCTCATTTGACTTAACATAATGACCTCCAGTTCCATCCATGCTGCTGCAAATGACAGAATTTCATTCTTTTGTATGGGTGAATAATATTCCATTGTGTACAGATATCACATTTTCTTTATCCATTCATTTGCTGATGGACACTTAGTTGATTCCGTATCTTGGTTATTAGGAATAGTGCTGCAGTAAACATGGAAGTGCAGATGTCTCTTCAAAGTACTGAAATTTCAATTAGTAACTCCCATTGACAATGCACAGCAGATTTTCTCATGCATTGTCCTTATGAGAGTAAGTTTAGTGATGTTTAAGTTCTCAGACTCTTCTATGGAAAGACACAGATTGAAATAGTCCTCAGAGAAGAGATAAAGATACATACGACAGACAACACAATTTTAAAGGTCCCACTTAGAATTCTGGGAATTCATGAAGAATTCAATACTTCTTAGACACAGAATTTTAAATTCCAGTGAGTGAGGAATGTCTAAGTTTGGTTCTTGACAATTTATAAAGACCAGGAAGAGCAATTGGTAAAAGGCTTGAACATCTGCCAAATACTACAAGCAGCCAGAAATATTGGAAAGGGCATGAACTTAGATCAGAAGAACTGAATTTAGTCCTGGATGAAACTGTTGTTATCATGCGACACTGAGCAAGTCCCTTAATTTTTTGGTTCCTCTGTTTACAAGTTTATAAAATTGGGATGATTATTTCTGTCCTGTCTACCTCCCCGGGTTGTTACAAAATCAGATTAGGCGAAGCGTGTGAAGGATCCCTGTAGCTAAAAAGTGCTATTCAGATGCAAGGCCTCAGTATAGATTGCCTCTATAAGTTCTGCAAGCTTTCTGAGGACAAAGAATGTATCTTTGTGTCACAAACCCTATATTAGGCCCTGAAAGAAATAAGTGAAGGAACCTGTTGCGTAAATTTGGACAGAAAAATACTGGGAAGTGATTTTTCCATTCCAATTTTCTGTGAGGTTAGTTGACATTTTTTTCTTGAATCATAAAATGTAACTTTTTTTTCTTATTTACCATCCCAGTGTACTTATGGGGACAATTCTCCCTTCATGCTAACTAATTTGCCTACATCCTGTAGGTGAAGGTCTATTGTAGAGAAGTCCATTCCTTATCTCAGTGAAATGTATTTCTAAGTGTACATGAGGTTAGACACCAGAATTTAGATACCCCTACACTTGTAGACAAGAGATGGCAGGTAAGGAGGTGCTCATCTCCAGCACATGAGTGTCGCAACACATCAAACGACAATCACACACTGATTTCACAACCCCAAATTCTTCAGTGACTGAAGAGCATGTTTTCTTCCTTAATTTTATTGGAAAGTGAAAATATTCCCTCAGCTGTCACCACTGCTTCAGCTACTGACCTAAGGGTGGAGGGAATCTTGTTCTATGGGAAGCTTCTATTCTTTTGTTTTGTTTTGTTTTGTTTTGTTTTGAGACGGAGTCTCGTTCTGTTGCCCAGGCTGGAGTGCAATGGCGTGATCTCGGCTCACTACAACCTCTGCCTCCCAGGGTCAAGTGATTCTCCTGCCTCAGCGTCCTGAGTAGCTGGGATTACAGGCGCCCGCCACTACGTCTGGCTAATTTTTGTATTTTTAGTAGAGACGGGGTTTCACCATGTTGGTCAGGCTGGTCTCGAACTCCTGACTTCAGGTGATCTGCCCGCCTGGGCCTCCCAAAGTGCTGGGAGTACAGGCGTGAGCCACCGCGCTAGGCCTGGAAAGTTTCTATTCTTTTATACCAATTGTGATTGGTAACATCAGGCTATTGTTCATGTCCCCCTCTAGCAAAAGATAAGCTTCTAAGAAATGCAATAATGTTTAAGATTATAATAGATGATACAATACATTGATCATCAATGTATTGTAATGTATGTATCATTATGTATCAATGTATGTATTGATGTATCAATACGTTGAGGATACATATCTTACAATAGATTACAACAGATGATATAATACATTCATGCCCATTTGATTGTTTCTTAATAGTTAATAAAGTAGCTGATTAAACTAAATGTTCCACACAAATACAAAATAATTGCAATTATGTAAGCTGTTCTATACATTTAATCAAGAAAGAATACATTTTTAGGAACTGGACATTATGATCCATGCCTAATTTACCTTATAAAAATCAGAACTTTAACATTTGACACTGGACTTCAAAATGCTGAAATTCCTGATCTCAAAACTTTTTGATCATAATATAATTTTAGGGCATTAGTAACTAGTACTCTCTTCTATTTATTACAAAAGGACTTTCAGAATCTAGTTCTTCATTTCCAAAAAGTATAAGAATCAGAGTTTCATAGTAAAAAATGAGAAGCTTTAAAAATATAAGTCAAGATGCTAAGCAAGTTCATCTCTGTATCTTTTTTTTTCCAATGACTTGAAACATTTCAGTGACTTCAATGCCTTTGAGTTAAGAAAGTCTTGATACTGTTCAGAGAAAAATTCTCCTAAGTCACACCTAAGACAGTGTCAAACCCTTTGCCACCATTTGTGTATTGTTTGCCTCTCTGGCAAGGTGTTTCGGCTCCTGCAGTTGGGTGTGTTTTGCTGACCCCTGGGGCTCAGGAGCTGGTTTATTGATCTGCAGTATAATTCCAAAGCCCCGTGTTGACCAAGGGAGTTTGAATTAAGACTAGGATAGTGGAAGCCCTTGGCTGGACTGGCTCTAATCCTATAGCAATAGTCAAAGAATAAATTTATCTCTGGGTATTTATTGGAGCCCCGAGTAATCTTAACTGTGTTTCAAAACTGTTTTTTCATCTTTATTTTTGTTTTCTGACCAGAGTAGCACAGTGTCTGGTTTCTGGAGCACAGTATTTCTCTAGAGGCCAGATAATCTTTCTGAGCCTGTAATGAGTCAATTATAGCACATTTGGGCCAGGCCATCTCCGTCTTTACCCAAGTCTACTTTCATCCTGATTGGAACACTGGGGGATATACCAGACACTCACTAGAGGGCAGCAAGGGGTCAATGCAACCAATTCTTTTTTTTTTTTTTTTTAATTAAACTAAGTTCTAGGGTACATGTGCAGAACATGCAGGTTTGTTACATATGTATGCATGTGCCATGTTGGTGTGCTGCACCCATTAACTCGTCATTTACATTAGGTATTTCTCCTAATGCTATCCCTCCCCTCTCCCGCAACCCCACGACAGACCCCGGTGTGTGATGTTCCCCACCCTGTGTCCAAGTGTTCTCATTGTTCAATTCCCAGCTATGAGTGAGAATTTGCAGTGTTTGGTTTTCTTTCCTTGCAATAGTTTGCTGAGAATGATGGTTTCCAGCTTCATCCATGTCCCTACAAAGGACATGAACTCATCCTTTTTTATGGCTGCATAGTATTCCATGGTGTATATGTGCCACATTTTCTTAACCCAGCCTATCATTAATGGACATTTGGGTTGGTTCCAAGTCTTTGCTATTGCGAATAGTGCCGCAATAAACATACGTGTGCATGTGTCTTTATAGCAGCATGATTTATAGTCCTTTGGGTATATACCCAGTAATGGGATTGCTGAGTCAAATGGTACTTCTAGTTCTAGATCCTTGAGGAATCACCATACTGTCTTCCACAATGTCTGAACTGGTTTACAGTCCCACCAACAGTGTAAAAGTGCTCCTATTTCTCCACATCCTCTCCAGCACCTGTTGTTTCCTGACTTTTTAATGATCGCCATTCTAACTGGTATGAGATGGTATCTCATTGTGGTTTTGATTTACATTTCTCTGATGGCCAGTGATGATGAGCATTTTTTCACGTGTCTGTTGGCTAATGCAACCAATTCTTTAGGAACTTTCTGGGCTATATTATGTGCTTTGGAAGAAGAAGGGGGAAAAAAAAGCCTAATGGTTTTAAAAGCGTATTCCCTACTACTTCTGTCAAAAATACAATGGCGTCAGTGATCTATGCTTGTAAGTATGTGTGTTTCACCAAAACTGAAATAAAAGACAAATATAACCTACTAGTATAATGAGAGGAGACTGTCAATGCCAAGGAACGTATCAGTTATCTTCCTGAAGATAGCCGTGTACCTACAAGAGTGAGGGTCCTCAAAGGGAGCCTATCGTGTATGCCCATGCGAGGAATCAAGCCACCTGTGAGTGGATGTTAGGAGAGAAGGCCTAAAGACCAGCAGTGAGAAATGAGGGATAGTGATGCAACCTCTCTAGTAAGCAGGGGTGACTTGTAGACAATAGATGGCAGGTAAGGAGGTGCTCAACTCCAGCTCATGAGGAGCTGAAGTCCCCCAGCTCCTTATAGGTTGCATGTTTGCAGGGAGGAATATCACTCTCATTACCTTCTGATATTGTCTCCTAAGGAAATTTGGGCAAGAGGTTGTAAGCATCATGTTTTGCAGTTTTATGCTTTTAAAAGAGATGATCCTGGCACCTCATTGCACATGGGTGCGTTGGAGGAAGGCAAGTGGGAAGATGGACAAGGGGAAGGACTTCGCGAGACATCATAAGGAGGAACAACCTTGTGGAAGGTGGCAAGGACAAGATGAAGACAAAAGAGAAGAGTGGTTCAAATCTTCATGCACCACACAGTGAGCATCAAAGGCATACATATCAAAGTCTTTGGAAGAGGAGAATATTAAGAACTGTTAAGGAAAATGATGCGTAAATCACCCCAGGACCGTTCCAAGGAAAAGAGAGGCTTAGCATTCAGAAGTTGCTATAGTTTTGCTGATGAGGCTTGAATATGAAAACTATATTATTATCCTTTTTATCGTTACGCTACTTCTTTGAATGTATCTCACAGGACAGCATGAACTGTATAACTCAGCTTACAATTAACAGAAAAAAAATTGCACTTTAATTCCCAAATTTGATTATCAGATGTTCAATGAAGACAAATACAAAATAACATTGTAGAATCTTGCTTTTATCCCTAATACTGCTGGAAAAATATTAATCTCAATTTTAGTTTTTCCCTATGTATCATCTGGGGACCCCTTGCATTCAAATCACAAACAGTGAAATCATACAATAATAACTTTAGGAGAAAGAATTTAATAATGACTGTAGAAGAAAGGTATAACCAAATGTTAGAGGAACATAAAGAAGGGAGAAATTACTTTTTGCCAGAAGAACCAGGAAAGACTTAATGGAGAAAATGGCACCTGAACCAGCCCTCAAAATATAGATAGGATTTTTACCAGCAAAGTTGTGAAAATATGCTAGCAAAAAGGAAGAGAATAATTAGTCAATACCACCTTGATTAGAGAAGGAGGACTGATGGCTGTAATATTGGCAAAGAAATTGAACTCAGATTATAAAAGACTTTATGCAGAGTCTAGGGGGGTGGGTTGAAACTTACTCAGCAATCACTTTGGCAGGTATCCACACCGAGTCACATGATCAGAATTGCACTTGAGGATAGTTTCTCTGTCTATAGGACTGAGGCTGAGACTGGAGGCAAGGACGTGTTAGAAAGTAGGCGAAATTGTCCAGGTCTGGGGAAATTAGGCTGTGTAAAAGGACAGTGGCAGTGGGAATGGAAAGAAGGGTGGTACATGAAACAGACATTAAAGGGGGAACAAGTTGATTGTTAGCTTGAAACTCTCAGCAGGCTTTATCAATTCTTGGAATGAAGGAAAATTTCTCCCTTCAAAAAACCTTGTATGTTGCAACCACTTAGGATGTGAACAAAGACAATTCATCTCCATTTTCAAGGCTCAGTAGTCAACTCAGAGATGGAGACAAGAGGACTTAAAGATGGGAAGAAAACGTGTCTCATTAACTCACAGTTCCAAAATGTTACAGATAGCTGTGGGGTTTTGGTTTCATTTGGTAAAAATCAAATGAACTTTTTTTCCTTATTTCTTCTGAAGAAAAAAAATCAGATTTACTAAATGACATGTTAAAATGTTTAATTCCATTTATTCTTTAATTTAAACAACACAAAGTTATTTCAATGAGACATCTGATTTTAATCCCAAGTAATAAAAAACAAAACCTAAACATTGGCCTAACTGAAACGAAGTCTAGTTTAACTGGTTCAGGATTACATTATTTTAATATTCTATAATATTGCTAAAATATTATTCAGTGTTCACTATGTGCTGATTAACCTGAGATCTATAGTAATATTACATATCAAGGTTTTGAAAATGTTTTATGACTGACCGAGTCATGAGTTTTGGTTTTTTGCTCCTTATTTGTAAATGTTTCAACCATATGAAATGCCATTCTTTTTTACTGCAATGGAATTTTACATGCCACGTTTAAGAAACAGAATTTTCTACATGAGTCTTTCTTTAACTGTAGCATTAAGTTTCCCATATGGCAACAGAAATGACATTTTATTTCTGCTATTTGAGTAATCTGCTTCCAAACAGGAAAAGTGGGGAATAGGACCAAAAAGTCTGTGACACTTACCTTTGGAGCAGTACTTGAGCCAATTAAATCATTGCCATATGATGTTGTTTGGACCATAATTGCTATCATAACAAGATGCAAGAAGAACAGAAGGCCCGAAGCCAAAAAACAGAAGGCCCGGAGCCAAAAGGCCCGGAGCTTGGAAGAGTTCAAGTCCTATCACTTTAGCCATTCTTACATATTGCATTCAGGAGACAGTTGACTTGCCCCACGTAGTTAACAAATTGAACAGCCCAACTGTGTCTCATGTATGTTTTCTGCTTTCCAATCTTGACAGATGCACATGTGTTATGTTCCAATGGCTCTCTGAAAAATATTTCTTAACTACCTGACACTGCTGGTTTTCAGTCACATATCAGCCCTACTACAGCCTATCAATAATTTAAAACATAAATATGGAAAACAGTAATGAGACCTCTGCAGCCATTGTACTGTCGACAGGAAAAATGAAGACATGGTAATGAGGAAAACATTAGTCTGATTATTGCAGGAGGGAGACGTTCTCAATCTTTTGTGGTGGTGCATCAGCCACAATTACCTCCCCAGTAGTGCTTCAGATCACAAACACCTTGGAGATAGCTGGAGTTCTTCCTAATTTGATTCTCTCTTGTTATTTCATGTTTTATCACAGTTAAAGAAATACGTGCCCAAAATCTCATCAGTGCAGCCAAGATATTTCTAGAGATAGTTCTCCAGGCCTTGCGATGGCTTCTCTTTAGTTTCACTGTGGACTCAGTAGCTGAGAATGCTCTCCTCTCCCAATCTCATCTCTCACCATTCACTGGCATCCACCTAAAAGAGTCCATTGGAATGCATGGGAATCTTTACTGGCCTTTGGTTTATGTGAGTGAATTCTCCTATTGATTCCTCCAAGCTGGAAGTAGCGATCAAGAGAAGGGGAAAGATAAAACTGAGTGAAAGTGGTTAAAGGGAAACCAATAAGAAATACATTTGGAAATCTGACTAGATTGGTGAAGACTTTTTTATTTTAAGGAAGAGAAAATCATGTGATTCCAATGTGTGGGTCAAATGAAGAATGAATGCAGTATGAGAACAGGGTGGAGACTCAGATTACTCAAAAAGATGCCTAAAATATATGTTATACGTTTTCCGTGAGATGTAATGAAGGTGAATTTCAGAAGCAGTGGCTATCTCAAGGTGCAGCAGCTGAGGTGATGTCTTTTTACCTCAGGTTACTACAAACGCTTTAACCTTCTGGATGCTGGCTGTTCTTTTCCTGGGAAAAGCACAGCTTTCACTGAACCAACAAATGGTTTTAAGGTGCTTGCAGAGAGAAGGAAGACTGAGTCCATAGTAACCGCTGTATTATGATCAACAGTCCTATTTTGTTTCTTCCCCAAAGTTCCTGTTTATGTCTCGCAGCCTTTATATTGACTTTTTAAGAACTCAGCCAGTTGGCCAGTGGCCATGGTAAAATTGCACCACCAGTAAGTATAAATACATCCCATCAGTGGACACATCTTCAGTATTCTACTTAAACTCAGTTCTCCATTTGAAGTGTCATGTGGTTATGGGTGAATAGAGAACATTATTTAAGAAAGAATGATTTGTTTAAAATAGTGCCCAAATACTAAGCTACATTACGGAGCAACCATCAGTATCATTAAGAAATTTCATTCACTTTTATTTTTAAAAACCTGTAGCATGCTACATCATTTGCACATTAATATTTGACTCTGTAAGCATTTGGCTCATGTACAGAAAATCATATGATACTTTTTCTTTGAGAACGAGAAGGAAAGGAAAGACAGCGATTGAAGCAAGATCCAGGAGAGGGAAAACACATGCCCTGCTGCCAGCCTTCCCATTTTCTCCACCTACTCTGTACCAAACCTAATTAACATAAGCTAACAAATATTATTATTAACAAAACTGCGTTGTTTTAAAGGTGACTGTGCTTAGCAATTTGTGTATTTTAGCTGAATCATTCTTTAAAACAAATGTGTGAGAAAGATAGCTCTATCTTGAAAAATAGGAAATTGAGGGGAAACAAAGTGTTTAAAAACTTTGCCCAAGGTCACATAGCCCATGAGTGAATGAGCTGGGATTCTTCCAGGTCCGTCTGACTCCAAACCCCAAGTCCTGGCCAGAAGCTCCTCCAATGGCTGACCCAACAGGAAATAATTTCCTATTACACTTATGTAAAGAATTCTCTCCTGTGCCTAAAATAAAGAGATTTACTCTATACAGTTGGTTTAACTAGCGTAACTGTGAAGATCAACAAGCTTAGAAATGCTATTTTCTTTCTTTTAACAAAAGAAAAACAAGATGACAGGGTATAAAACAAAGAATCTATTATTTCGTTTCCAAATACACATTTTAAATTTAGTGACACAATAGCTTAAGTCTTCTTTTGGACTATTGATTTTCCTATTATTATCTAAAATGAAACATTTTTAAAAGCACCATTTTACCATTTTTTGCATCTTCAATACATTGTATTAGTATTTTGGATATATATCCACTGCCTGATTCTTATATTTTATAGTTGCAGGAAGCTACTATT
This sequence comes from Homo sapiens, assembly GCF_000001405.40. Lineage (NCBI taxonomy): Eukaryota > Metazoa > Chordata > Mammalia > Primates > Hominidae > Homo > Homo sapiens. The sequence continues at coordinate 85,763,139 of NC_000004.12, forward strand.
CGAAGTGAAATAATTTGGTGTTGTTATTTAACTCTGAAAAAGCATGAAATATAGCAATCATTTGTGAGAAATCACTGACTTTCTGCTAAGGTGACTAGGCCATTTTTTTTATATTAGGCAAAAAACCAAATGCAGCAATCAGAATTGTATCCCATTTAATGTTATTTGCAAGAATGATTAACCAGGATGCCTGGGGCGCTTACATAAACAGCTGTGTCTTGTATTTTCCAGGTAATAAAACCTCTTAGTTTGGCATCTTGCAGGGAAGCCATTAGATCCACCCTGGTGCCACTGGAATAACTGAGGTCCCATAGGGAGGGAACACCTACCAACAACAAGAGGCAAGGGATAGGGTAGATGAGGACGAGGCCTGGATTGGAAGTTCAGAATGAAACTACCAACCAGTAAGAATGTAGAGGAGCCCAAAGCCTTCAGAGGCAAAGGGGGGTGTCTGGAATTACTTATTCATTTATTTTTTGGTTTGTTTCTTTATTCATTTATTTCTTTATTTTGAAGAGTGAAAATGTTTCAAATACTTCTCCCAAAATATTACTAGTAATTCATTTATTTCTTTATTTTGAAGAGTGAACATGTTTCAAATACTTTACTGAAATAATAATGATGGAGTAACAGTCTTGAGTTTTCAGAAGTATATGATGTACTAATAAATACCATCCAAGCAATCACAAATGTATGCTTTCTTACCAGGCATACAAGAACTAGAGTCCTTCACAATGAAGGCTTTCACAAAATGCAAAAGCAGCAATAAACAGAATTGATATTTACATTAACATTGTACATAAAATCCAAAAGTCAGCATCCTATATTTTTAATATCAATGTACATATCATACTTTATTTTTAATGTTAATTTTCCATCTCTCCCAAAAAATGTAAGATCTGTAAGAAAGTAGATTTTCAAATATACATATGTATAATTTAGCATCACATGTCATGCTGAATACCAAGGAGTTTACTAACAATGAGAGTTTCTGGAAGAATTTATTGATGGTTTCCTTTTACCACCAAGAAATCTCTAAGCCAAATTTTCTTTTCTCCAATTTTTATTTTTACCTCTTCATACTCAATTTTAAATTTATTATCATAAAGAGAGATGCTGAAGGGATCTGCTTTTCTATCTGCTATAGTGTGAGGGCTCTCGTGTGGCAACATTTTACTGTTGTTCTCCCCTGCTATCATCAATGCGTTAAAAGGAAGGGGATTCTACACAGGAATACTAAACAATCAATAAAACGCATTCCCAAGCAATATTAATGTGATGGAGTCACTGCAATTTGATTAGTGACCTTTTCATTCTTTGTAGAGATAACCTTTATTGATATCATTAACCAGATAAAACACAGGTTTGATGCAGCTCTTTTAACCACTGAGCTTGGTATTGATTGAGAAGCAAGATGTGAGATTTTGTTAGTGTTGAGCTGTTTACAGAAACAGGAGGTCCATTCCTCCCCTTTTCTTCAGCCCCCAGAGTAATTGTTTTTTTTTACCAGCAGTGAATACAGAGGAGAAACCAAGGACATTTTCTGACTTTTGTTTCTATGAACAAAAGCTATTTGGGTGAGGGATCACTTTCTGAATGCTCACAAGGAAAGAAAGAGGCATTCTATATTAATAATTTTGGTATGGCTTAAGTAGATCTCCTCTTCGTTACTGTAATTCTCAAAGATCTCTCATTATACAACTACTTATTAGCATTTGCAATTCAGAAAGTTTATACTAATTCTGCCTGTGTTTATGTTTAAACAAACCAGTATACTTGTTCCTTGCCCCTTGAAAGGCATATGTTATCATAGAGAAGATCTAGAGATTTTTACCTTATCTAGAGATTTTTGGCCCAAATGGCATATTAACTTTGAGGTTTGTCTGTGTCTGCTTCCATGCAATAGAAGTGGAACATTTGTTTGACTTTTTAAGTGAATGATTTAGCCTAAGAATCAAACTTTACATTTTAATTCCTGAAACTAATATTTAAATGAAAGTAAACTCTTCAGCTGAATACACTAGATATGCTACAAAAAAAGGTGTGTTTTGTGAAAGGTAGCTATTGCTTAAAATTGTATGTTTTAACGTAATATGGTAAGCCTGACTTGAAAATAATTTTATGGTTTGTGAATTGGATTGTGCAGTGAGTAGAATATTAGAGCACACCTGCAAGTGGCATTAAAACGTTTTTGTTTTAACTGATTCATACACTAAGCTTAGAGCATGTAGGTGTGATCTATGGATTCAAGATGAATGATTAATGTTTACCCAATAAGCACTAAGGAAAATGAGTTGAAAGATTCACTAAGGTCCATGTAATAAAAAAGATTTTGGGGGTGATATGGAAAAATAATTAGTCATGAAAAGGGTTTATATATTTTCTTACATCTCCAAGCATGATAGTAGTTTAAATAGAGAGTTGTAGGCATATACTACTCTTTACAAGCTTCTGGTATATTAAGAAAGAATATAATTAGATAAAAAATTACTACTTACTTGAAGTTTCAGAGGGATAAAAAGTAACAAAATAACCATGGAAAGTAATGGCAATAGTAAGAATGGATATGAGTGTTTATCATGAAAATGGAAAAAATACTCCCTAATTCTAGGTTTCAAAGACAGAGACCAGCTTTTCCTATGAAAAGTACATTTATAAAAATCAGTGATACCCACTCTATTTTAAAACACGAGATCTCACATACAGCACAGTTCTTTGGTTATAAAGGCTGAAAGCCGAGGAACAATAAATTTACACTCAATTGCATAGTTGTTTTTTGCTTTGGGGTGTTGTTAGATTTTTTGTAAATTTTTTTGCCAGCAGGAATTTATTTTATTTTCACCCTTATGAATTACGGGGTACAAATTTTGAAACTGTTTATCCACTGCACTTAATCATTAGTCAGATTTCTTGTACTTCACAATCTGCTTTCAGCCTAAGGTAATATCAACAAGGTGATACAAAATCAGAATATTTAGAGCCCGGGGAGGAAAAGTCATCAAAATCATGACCCTATTTCCTAATCCTGAATATTGTGATTGAACCATTCTTCTCTATATAGATGAAGGAAGTAGAGATGGGGTACGGGGACTGGCAATCAGAGAAACTGGCACATAAAAAAGAAAAGATAGAGAAGGAGACAATCATAACAATATTAAAAGAAGAGTCGAGAATTTTCTGTACTTACATAGAGGTCTTGCAACTTAACACATGAAAATAATTCCTTGCTCTTCAGCTGCCATAGCATCTCTAGGTTTTTAAAATTGAACTATTCTTTTTAGGTTATTAGTGTCCAGATCTTTGCCATTCACTAGCAGCAACACTTGGGAACTTGTTAGAAATTCAAATTCTTGGATCTCTACCCTGGAGCCATAATCAGAATCTGCATGTTTAAGCAGATTTCCAGGTGATTCCTATGCATGTTAAAGACTAATACGACCCCACATCTATTGGCAGAATATGCACATGTTCCTTGGAGACTAAAGACAGTGAACAACAAAACAGCATGTAAAAAAACAGATGAAAAATCTGCTGAGGTGAAAGCATAAATAGGAGGAAATATAAAATTCCCCTTTTATGCCAAGTGCTTCCCACTTGAGAATAAATCACTAAGGTCATTTACTAGCTCTAACTTGAGAACCACAAACTATACTGGGTTCACCTGCCTTTCACTCCTCCTCAGAGTCAAACAAAAACTCTCACAATTTTAATATTTAGCAAATACAGTCATGCACTGCATAACAATGTTTTGGTCAACAACAAACTGCATATATGATACTGTTCCCATAAGATTATAATACCGTATTTTTACTATGTCTTTTCAATGTTTAGATATGTTTGGATACACAGTATTTACCATTGTGTTACAACTGCCTACAGTATTCAGTACAGTGCTATACAGGTTTGTAGACTAGAAGCAATAGATTATACCACATAACCCACGTGTGTAGTAGGCTATACTATCTAAGTTTGTATAAATATACTCTGCAACATTCACACAATGTAAAGTGGCCTAATTGCATTTATTATAATGCATCCCCATTGTTAAGCAATGTATGACCATAGTTGCAAATGATGTGTGTTTATTCTTCCTAGCTGAAGTCTTCAGGTAATAATATTTTAATGTTTTGATTATAAGTAAACTTAAATGTCTCTCCAGATTGCACTGCTGCCAACTGACCATTTTTATATGGACATGTCTTTTTTAGATGTAGTTGGTTATGTATGTATTATGTCACCATCATACACATATATACACACAGAGAGACATACATACACCTCACACATTCACATGTGAATGCTTCATCACCTTTATTACATACCCTAAAATTACAGCATGCTTTATGGAATTGCTGTGGAAGAGGAAGAGGGGTTGTCTGTATGAGCCATAAACACTGGAAACTTGAACAGAGCATCCCAACAGCAACAACAAAAGCAAACTGAGTACCTGGGAGGGAGGAAAAAGAAAAATGATACCTGTTCTTTGGCATATAGATTACCCCAAAGGGGCAAATTATTAAAGAAAAAGAAACAATGTTTTAAATTTTCAGTAGCATATTATAGTCATGGTAGAACAGAATATTTTCTAGCTGATGTTAACAAGGATCATGTATGATTGCAGAGAGAAAGGCTCTTAGCAAACTATGACATTCTTGGTGAGAGTTAAACTCTGTTACCCTGTTTTTGTCTGCCAAATGATCCTGATGTGTAAACTGGGGAATAGAGTGCATGTTTGTATATATAATGCTACAATGCGTACACTATTAACTTCTGTTTATAGCTTGGCCTTTGGAAATGGTTGTTGGGGAAAGGAATTGCTCTAAACTTGAAAATCTTGAGGCATTCTGAAAGATAAACAGTGTTTTACCAAGGTGGGAAAGGTGTCAAAGAGACTGGCCCTCACAGTCTCAGAACAAAAATAGACTGTTTATATGCGGCTGCTGTGTTGACCATGAGAAAAGAGAAATAAATTGGCGTGACAACTTGCAAACATGTTATAGCAAAATGTTAGCAATAAAAATAAAATAATTAAAAAGAAAGATGAGAGTGAATGAAAATAGCATGGCAAGTAACAGTTTGATTTATTTTTTTATTCAAAATCTAAAGATTGGATTTAAAAAAATGTGAAAATCTAAAGTCGTCCACAAGTACCCAATGCTGTGCATTGTATAAGGACTTAAGGAAACCATAAAATCAGTATATATGAGCTCAAAGACAGAGTGATAATACAGCAGGAAAAGAATGCTTCTGAGTTGAGCAGGCAAATTAAAATCTGAAAAAAAGCCTTTTCAAATCTAACAAATAAAATCAAGAATGATAGCTGGGCGTGGTGGCTCAGGCCTGTAATCCCAGCACTTTGAAAGGCTGAGGCAGGTGGATCATGAGGTCAGGAGTTCAAGGCCAGCCTGACCAACATGGTGAAACCCTGTCTCTACTAAAAACACAAAAATTAGCCGGGCATGGTGGCGCGCACCTGTAAAAATACAAAAATTAGCCGGGTGTGGTGGCGCACGCCTGTATCCCAGCTACTTAAGAGGCTGAGGTAGGAGAATCGCTTGAACCCAGGAGGCAGAGGTTGCAGTGAGCTGAGATCGTGCCACTGCACTCCAGCGTGGGCAACAGAGTGAGATTCCATCTGAAAAAAAAAATGATAGACACAACTAAAGATGAGATCACTTGTGTAGGGGAGAAAAATTTCTCCTCTATCCTTTCAGGGTCTCCTGCTGGACCTAAAAATTAAACTGACATCAAACATATTAACATATCTTAGTCTCAGATAAGGTAAATTCAACAAAGATACTGGGATTAATAGACCCCACAAATGTTGATTGGAATGATAACAGAGACACTGCAGAGCCTAATTTATGATGAAGGATGAGGATCTTTTTATTGCTTAATGGTCAAATAGTGATGATGAAAAATATAGTATTCATATTAGAAATAGTCATATCCTTATGAAAAAAACGGTGATTAAAAGACATTCAAAAAAGCGATGATTGAATACTTGATAAAAAGAGGAATGGATATGAAGGAAGTCAGTTCACATGTGGTTATTTCCTAGCAGTTTCTCCCAGGTTAATGAGATTAGGGTCATTGGTGTGATTCATCCATTCATTCAAATCAGTAAACATTTATTAGGTAGTCATTTTGCCAAGCATCTTGACTCTTAGTAATGTATCATTGCACTTGTTTTTCTTAACCATCTGATAAGTTTTACAGTTAAATCTGAGGGTTTAAGGATGGAGATTTTTTTTGTGGGAAAAGAAGACACATTTATTGTGTTGCTTGTTTGCTTGTTTTTAAATGTCAACAAGTTTAGTAAATATGGCAAAAAATGGAATAAAGAAAGATAATGTTTTCTTTCCAAAAACCCATTTGTGTATATACATATGTGTGTATAATTATACATATATATGGATAGATATTGATAGCTTGATATCTCGATGGATACACAGTAAATTGTTAGTAGTGGTTAATCCTTTTTTTCTTTCTTCCTTTCTTTTCTTTTTTCTTTTTTTTTTAAACAGAGTCTCACTCTGTCACCGGGCAAGCGATTCTCCTGCCTCAGCATCCCAAGTAGCTGGGATTACAGGCGCCCGCCACTACGCCCAGCTAATTTTTTGTATTTTTAGTAGAGACGGGGTTTCACCATGTTAGCCAGGCTGGTCTTGAACTCTTGACCTCGTGATTTGCCCACCTTGGCCTCCCAAAGTGGTGGGATTACAGGCATGAGCCACCGCGCCTGGCCAGTAGTGGTTAATCCTTAAGAATAGTATTGGTGAGGGTAGAAAGGGTAGGAACTTTAAATTTTACATGATATACTTATATACTTATGTATATTGCTTTCCATTGAAGAGGAATTAAAATAAATGTAAGGAAATAGTCCAACTTTCTTATATTTGGTTGCACTGAAGCTTGGGATTGGCCAATAGCCCAGCACTGATGGACAATTTATTTTCATTATTTTCTGAACCACATTTGTGTGTCTAGGAACTTGTCAAAGAATACAGACCAAGGAAGGGCCTCCTCTATTCATTTCCAACATTCTACCTTGTAAATGTGGATTCACTCTTATTGTAAAAATGACAGTGTAGGGGAATTACACTTCTGGAAGAAATCTTCTTCTGTATAAACTCAAGAATCTTAATCCTCAGTGTGTTTGGGAGCCCAAGTAAGCTTAATATTTAAAAATTATTCAGCATAGTATGGTATCACATTTTATATCCAATGCTTTCTCACCTAAGAAAATTCCAATAGTCCTCCTATTGTTCACAAAATAAATGTCTCCCTACTTCCTAGGTTTGTTTTCTTGGGAGTCTTAGAAATAATTATTGTTGTTACCATTACAGTTATTTTGTCAATAACTGCCTGTTTTAATTTCTTTATAATACAACAGATATCCTCTCAATCCTCAAAGATGGATAAACCTTCAGCAAATTTAAAACATACGGGAGATAATTATCTCAGAGAATAGTTGAATTTCACATCTGAAAGAACCTTCAGAGTAATCTTACTAAATCCCCTTATTTTATATAGGAGAAAACAAAGTCTCTGTAAAGTGAAATGTTTTGGCCAAGGTCAAACAGCTAGTTGCTGACAGAACCAAGTTTGGAAACCTAATTAATTTTGGCTGATCTCTCCTGTTTGTACCTGGGAATGTTTGCTTTCCACACTGTGCCCATCCTCACCTTGGCCTAACCCAGTAAGGAAACTTTCCATATAAGAATGTCCTCACCTCAGAGAACGTTGCAGGAGTGGGGCAGGAGAGTGAACTGAGATTTGATTTAGTTGGGTGTTCATTAATATTGACTTACTAATGGTTACATTGAACACAATGAAGAAATAAAGCCTGTGCTTATTTTTTAAATAATCAAAATAGCTTGGGGGTCCCCATCTACTACCAATAGCTTTATATTTCATAGCCATGGTGTTTGCAAATATGTTCTTTTATATGGGAGACTACACACTATATCTGTGTATTAGTCAGACTTCTTTAGAGAAACAAAACCAAAAGGAGATATATAGATATATAGAAGGAGATTTCTTATGAGGGATTGGCTCACATGATTATGGTGGCTAAGAAGTTCCATGAACTTCTGTAGGCTGAAAGCCCAGGAAACCTAGTGGTATAGTTCCAGTCTAAGCCTGAAGGCCTGAGAACCAGAGGACCCAATGGTGTAAATCCCAGTCTGAGTCTGAGGGCCTGAGAACCAGTTGTACCAATGTCTGAGAGGAGAAAATAAATGTCCCAGCAAAAGCAGACAAAGTAAATTCACCCTTCCTCTGCCTGTTGTTCTATTCATGTCCTCGGCAGATTGCATTATGCCCACTCACATAGGTGAGGGCCATCTTCTTTACTCAGTCTCCTGATTCGAAGGCTAACGACTTCTGGAAACACAGTCACAGGCACAATCAGAAATAATGTTTTACCAGCTATCTGAGCATCACTAGACCCAGTCAAGTTTACACATATAATTAACCATCACAGCCCATTATCTGTGAATGTCTTCTAAAAGAGAAGCCTCAACATTTTGCATTGTTCTATACCTCTTTTTTTGTTTGTTTGTTTTTGTCCTTGTTTTGTTTTTTGAAATGGAGTCTCACTTTGTTGCCCAGGCTTGAGTGCAGTGGCACAATCCCAGCTTACTGCAACCTCTGCCTCCCGGGTTCAAGTGATTCTCCTGCCTCAGCCTCCCAAGTATGTGGGACTACGGGTGCGCACCAACACACCCAGCTAATTTTATATTTTTAGTAGAGACAGGGTTTCATTATGTTGACCAGGCTGGTCTTGAACTCCTGACCTTAAGTGATCCACCCACCTTGGCCTGCCAAAGTGCTGGGATTACAGATGTGAGCCACTGTGCCTGGTTGTTCTATACCATTTTTAAATAAAAATAAACTGTGGCACTAAAATAATTAATAAAATATTACAAATAGTTTATTAATCTGGCCTTTATTATTGACTATTGAGCAATGTGTCCAAATTGTGTAAGAATCTCCTGACTTAGGAGCTAGTTGCTCTAAAGCCCGTGACCTCGTTCTTGATACTATCATCGTCTTTAGGTCAGTATTAATTCCCACTTCATAGGTAGGGTGACATGTGTCCAAGTTTGCCTGTAAGAGTCTTGGATTTTATCTCCAATCTAATTGTCATTAACAGCAGTGCCTCCTCTTACTCTCAGAAAGTCAAGATTTAGACAGTAAGGTATAGGGTCATCCACAGGGGGTATAAAATATGTTAGAGAAGGAATTTTCCTATTCCAACTTTAAAACAAATCTCGGCATTTTCTCTTGTTTGAGCTGTATCTGCCCCTTTCTGTATTCAATGTCTTAGTTTTACCTCTTGCCTTCCTAGATTCATTGAAACTGAGTTAGCCTTCAAACTCCATGTAGCTCAAAACTCAATATTTGACTTGATGGAACTAGGGTATCTGCCAAGTTGACTTTCATTCTCGTTTCCACTGGCTGTCCTAGTATAGTGTGTGAATAAGTCTTCCAGACATGAAGATAATTAGATTATCAAGAGGAATTTGATGAAAGATTTGTACTTTGCAAAGTAGCTAAACATGTAGTTCCATAGAAACCATGCAAATACAATTGTTTATGTATTGAATCTCATATTTGGACATGCTGATGCCTAGGAAACCTAATTTTCTGCCCATGAAATTTCCTAAGATATTGCCAAATTATATTCTAAACAATGTCTTTGAGTCTAGTCACCCAATGTCCAAGTTTTGAAAATGTCCAAAATGTATGCTGCCCTCAAAGAGACAGGCAGTTTAGTATAAAGTATATGCGCCTCATAGACAGATGAATGTGATTTCAAATTGTGCGATCAGTCTTTTCAGTTATATGCCTCAGTTTCCTCGTCTGCAAATAGAATGTATGAAAAATGTCTTTTACATAATCAATTCTTATAAAATACCACTGATATTTTTCTGTAATTATTATATGGAGATATTGGAGTAAGTTTGCCTTCTAACATCTTCCTACCTGTAGTAATTTTAAAATATACTTTAGGGCCATCTCTCTCTTTCTCTCTGTCCTTCATGCCTAATTTCAGACTATCACAGTATCTTACTTATACATAGAAATGTCATAGTCCTTTAGACGACCTGTCCCAGAATTTTCTCTTCACTTAGTATTCTAAAACCATAATATCTCTTATTTAAAATCTTTCAATGGATACCCATTTCCTTGAGGATAAAAACCAAATTCCTGAGCCTGGCTTTTGCCTGTCTTCCTTTCTGCATACTTTATCCATCAGTCTTGGTTTTTCATTCCACATGCCAGCTCTATATAACTACTTGAAGTAACCCAAGTGTACTCTATCTCCTACTTGGAATGTTAATCCTCTCCTTCTGCATTCAAATTGTATTTTGGTTCTATCTCCTCAAGGCAGCCTTCCTTGGTTACTTCCTGTCTTGATTCCCTGCTGCTTCCATGCTCTCCTGTAAAGCAGTGCTTACCTCCACAATAGTCTGTAAATGTCTCCCACCTCCATTTCTGAGGCAAGAGTTAGTCTTCTTCTTTGTACCCAAGCATTTGGCACATTATATGGGCTCAACAAATATAGGCACGTCAATAAATTCAAGGAAGAAGAAAAGAATTTTTACTTTATTTTCCTGGGGAAATTTCTATTCTGAATAAGAAATATTATCATCAATGAGATAACAAGAAATTATTACAAAAACTTCATAACCTAGCACAAGGCCTTGTCCACAGAGACAATTAATAAATATTTTAGCTTTGATCCACTAATGAAATAAATGCCACTTATATATGTAGATTAATGTATAGTCAATACAATAGGAAAAGAGCACTTTTTGTTTTAATGACTTTGAATGAAGTTATTTGCCTCTGAGTGACACCAGTGCTCAGGCAAGAAATTCCCTCTCCCTGGTTGTCCTGGAAGGAGGGCTGTCATGGCACTTAGGGAAAGCCATTCTCTTCCTAACAAAGAATCACCCTCTCCCTATCTTGCTGTCACATGGCCACCTCTCTGATGTGGCCGTACTTGAAGTGTAGTGAGCCAGTCACATTATCCAACAATATGTTTGAGTCCCAGGACCCAGAGAGGCTGACTCACTAGAACAGGTAATTAGGAAGCAGTAGGACATGAGACAGGAGAGGAAATCTAATTTACAGCTCACTGGAGGGCTCTGAAAGAGTGTGCAGCAGAGCTTGGATGGGAGATTTAATTATCTTTGAGCTCACCTCTCCAAAATTATTTGGTCTCCCTCCTTTTCATTTAGAAAACATATGTTGCAAATGCAAAGATTTAGCCTTTGCTCGCAAGAGTTGGCAGGTGAGGGCAACTTCTTAAAACCACCTGGAAAGGATAGAATTAGCTCTAGGCTATCTGCTGTTTCAATAAGAAAAACTACTGCAGCATTCAGGAAATGAAAGAGATTTCCGGAAGCTCTTAGGACCTCTAGCAAATGTAATCACATATCTAGTTAGGTACATATATCCACAGACGATATTCTGGCAAGTCAAGATATTATCTGGCCTTTGTGTTAATACAATTCGAAAGGTTACAGGTATCTTATGTAGATACAACTACTTAGGGCCCAGCTGGGGCTCTTTCCTCATTTCCTGTCATTCCTAGCTGCTGGAGCCAAGGGGAGATTTGCAGTGTTAAGTCAATTGCAGAAGTAGATTAGATTTTGCCTTCATGTTTATGGACTTAAGTTAGATGTTTGTTGACAGAAGAATAGTAGCTCATGCAGAAAGTATAATTAATTCATTAAAGAAATATTTGTCAAATGCCTGTTTTATACTAGATACTGTTCTGAACACTAAGAGCAATGTGGTTCAAAAAGCCTAAATCTTAGGTTTCTAATCTTATTTATATATCGTGATATCTTTCTGATTTGATAAAACTTATTCTAGAGGAGACATAGCAAACATGGTTCAACTGACTACTAAAATGGATAATAAGTAAGGAAGAACAAAAGATCATTTCAGACATGGAAAGGGCTATGAAAGAAAATTAAAATGGGGAAATGGGATAGAGGGTATATGTGGGTGGGAGGATGCTTAACCAGAGTGGTCGGGAAATCTTCTTTCTGAGGAGGTGGCATTTGGTAGCATCATCCTGAATGATGAGAAGATCATTCTGTGAAAATATGAGGGAGGAGCATCCCACACAGATGTGATAGCAGGTTAGGAAATTCGGTAGGTGTATTAGTCCATTTTCATGCTGCTGATAAAGACTTACCTGAGACTGGGTAATTTATAAAGAAAAAGAGGTTTAATGGACTCACAGTTCCATTGGCTAGGGAGGCCTCACAATCATGACGGAAGGTTAAAGGCACATCTTACATGGCAGCAGGCAAGATAGAATGAGAACCAAGTGAAAGGGGTTCCCCCTTATAAAACCATCAGATCTCGTGAGACTTGTTCACTACCATGAGAACAGTATGGGGGAAACTGTCCCCATGATTCAGTTATCTCCCACTGGGTCCCTCCCACAACACCTGGGAATTATGGAGCTACAATTCAAGATGAGATTTGGTTGGGGACACAGCCAAACCATATCAGTAGGAAAGATAAACTGAAGCTAAATCATGTAGTACATAGGAGGCCATGGTTAGGCATTTGGATTTATACTGAGGGCAATGGGAGATTGTAGTAGGGCTGAAGCAGGGGAATTATGGGAAATCACTGGACAATGCAAAGCAAGAGAATAATGGAAAACCACTGGAAGGAATGAAGGAGAGTAATCATGGGAAATTGTTCAACAGTGAAGCAGGGGAATGATGGGAAAGATGAGAAATCATGGGTATAAGGAGGGGAATGATGATTCTGGTTCTCTGAGGAGAATGAACTGTGAGAGGTGTACGTATGTGCTGGAATTGGCTTAAGAGAGTTGATGCTTGAGATTTTTATGTGTGTCAGTTTCTTAAAACTGTTAAAAACTTCCATGCATGAAATCTGCCCCCAAGCATAGAATATTAGAATCTAGTAGCTGTTCATGCAGTCACTACCCTTCACTGCTATCACCAAAGAGCTCTCTGGGATTTCTTAGTAAAAGCCTTCTTCTAGTGTTACTATAAACCTGAAAACTGAGAGGAGGAGATCAAGAGTTAGAGAATTCCGACTGCCTTGCCTGTGTTAATATAGCCTGCCCTGGAGTTCACCTCTGCTGGAAATATTTCTTCCATCAGTGAAATTCAACACCACAGGGCAAATCTTCAAAATACAGTGAGTATTCCCCACTAAACTACACTAGTATTCTGAAATTCAGAGCATTCCCAGAGTAGGGCAACCTGGAGTGTGTCCCAGGACCCTAAATAGAGCAGAACACCAGTTTTAAAAATGGTTGCAAAAATGTTGTGCCGTTTTAGATTGTATTGGATCACATATTGACAGCACATGCTTCCCTTCCAATGGGTAGAGATGAGCCATTCCATGGATTTTGAAGTAGGTTTGAAGGCCAATTTCCTATTGCTTTCACTGGTCACCAAAATTGCTAGTTCCTTCTTTGTTTAGCCTATTTTAGGAGACTTTGGTTCTTGAATTCAATACCCATAATCTATTGTCTATGGCTCAGCCCACTCCTGTTCTAAACAATCTGTGACTTCTCTTCACTCTTTCCTTCCTTCCTGCAGCCATTTAACCCTCTGAATCACCTTGACTCATTCCATGTAAAACTCTATGTCTCCTCAAGGCCTATTACCTTACAAGGTCTTACTCATATTTCCTTCCTGCTCTTTCTAATGGACTAAAGGTAAAACTGTCAATATCGAAAGTAAAGCTTAAGAAGTAAAAGGAAAATACAGAATATTTTTAGCAAATGCAAGTAATATGTATCAATGTGTCCAACTCTTGTCACATTTGACATATTAATGTTGCTTAACCTTTGCATAGGGCTCAAACAGACATAATCAAATGAGAATAAAAGGAAAATAAGATGCTGTCATTGTGTCAAAAACCATGGTTTTCCAAAATTTCTTTCTCAACATTTCTGTTTTGAATCTCAGTTGCTTATTTGTCAGCATTAGAAAAGTGCTATCATACCCATTAATTTCTCAACATTTTGGAAAATGTGTTCCAGAAAATCTAATTGTCATTTTAAATATTAATTACATTTTATAATTATTTGGTCATAAGCATACTGCTTCCTGCCAAAGAACAGGGCAAGAGTAGATGCCTTAAAAGTAGACGAGAAATATTAAAACCAAACAGTGCATTTCTGAATTAAAGAATAGGTAACAGTTTGAAAATAGGCCTTGAATGATCTGAGCATTTCTCATTGTGTCTTGGAATTGCAAAGTGTAAAGAAGATTTTGCTTTAAAATTTAAGGAGCCAGATCAAATGGAAAGATTAATAGTGGCCAGAGTGATTTCAGTGTGGGCCACTTCATATTTTGGTTTACTTGATCTGGGCAGGATGTTTTAAGATTGGAGCAACCCAATCGATAGGATATAAAGAAATCAAGGACACATGTTTGAAGTGTGAGAATGAATACAGAAGTAGTCATAGAGAATTGACCTTACTTCCCATGCAAACCCTTTGATTTTATTTGAAAATTCCCTACTTTTCTAAGGAAGCTATTGCTTGTCTGTTACACTATTTCACGTGGGAGGGATGAGATAGATCTTATGAATGTTCGATAAATATTTGTTAAATAAGTGAATGAATGAATGAATACATTTCAAAAAGGTAATTTTAAAAATTATTATAATAAGCACATCACTCTTTCAGTTAGAAAAACATAATTTATTCACCAATAAATAGGAAATACATGAAAGACACCAATGAAAATTGTTATGTTGCTTCTCTGTTTTATTTAACAAATTATACAATCAACAATAATCAAAACCAAATGTGTGTATTCAAAAAATCTTGATAGATTGAAAGTGGGGATTTGTGATAATAGCAAATGTGTGTCTAGTTTAAGAGCCGTGGAGTAGTATCACTGATACTAGGTAGAACACTTATTCTGCCACCTGTCACAGCACCATGCCTTACTGAAGCAGTACTCTGTAAGGACTAATAAATGTTAGCATCCCTTGAAACATGGCAGCTCCTGAGTTGTAAAAATATTCTGGACAATCAGCAAAGGAAAAGATTATTTCCTAATATACAAAGAAATTGGAGATTAAAGGGAAAGTTTCAATATTAAGGATTTTAAATCCAAAGGAAATGTTTTCTCTGAGACAGTTCTCACATCCTAATTGTGTTACTGCTCCCTGCCAATTCCTTTGCTTATTATGCAAGGATATAGAGGAAAAGGCAAACTATTTCCCCTCAGGTATGTTAGTGTAGTGGAAAAAGCATTGAAGCAGGAGTTGTGAAACCTGGTTATTTGTTAACTGTGGCACTAACTAGCCGTGTGAGTGACCTTATACAAATCATATTTTTCTCTGGGTTTCACTTCCCTTATCTACAAAATGGGTTCACCCGGCTAAATTATATTTAAGGTCCTGATGAGCTTTCTATGATTCCTATTTCTTATTTTGTTTTGTTTTGTTTCTAAATGCTCAAATACTACATTATTTAAGGTATATTTCCTTGTAGGTTTTTTTTCCCCTCTCTGTCTCTTTCTTCAATATATGGGATGGGAGGATACTGACTAAGTCTGAGAAGGAGGAGAAAGAAAATTAGCTACAGGAAGAGTTTATATCCCCTTCTACAAGAAAACTTAAATATAGCTACCACCGCTTTGAAAGGAATGGTTTGTGTCCAAACAGCATTTTCCAGACAAGCTCTGTACTTTTTTGCCAAAAGAATTAACTTTAAACTGAAGGCAGTGGACAGTTAAACAAGAGTCGGCACTGGGAACAGCTGTGCGTAGACCAGACCAGTGACTTATAAGGTACTGTTTTTACTCATTTAAATCTTCAGGGTTCATTTGTTTTGGGGACAAGTATTTAGTGGTCATTTGACCTTTTTTTCCTCCCTCTTCACCTCTATTTTGAGAGAAAATATACCCTTGAAAATATTTTAGCTTTTTAACTGTATTATTTTCTGGCTGTTGATATTTGAAACTACTCGGATTTTGCTTTGTTTTGTTAGTGTTTTTAGGAACCAGATGATTGTTGCTGTTGTTTTATTTTAAAGCTTAGTTTAGGTTTGTTTCTTTGTTGTATCTTGTCATGTGTGGTTTTTGTGTTTTATTGCTTGTGTTGGATAAAGATAAATATACTTTAGCATTACAAAATGTACAGAATGTTCTTGACTGGGCAGGAGGGGGAGCTTAAT
The DNA here is from genome assembly GCF_000001405.40 of Homo sapiens. NCBI lineage: Eukaryota > Metazoa > Chordata > Mammalia > Primates > Hominidae > Homo > Homo sapiens. Next base: position 85,779,352 of record NC_000004.12, read on the forward strand.
GAATCTTCAACTTGAAATATAGAACTAATATGGAGCCAATCAGACAAGAGAACCTGGGCAGGGCAGTCTAGGCACTTTAACTGATTCAGTCAAGGCTCACTAAACTCATCACAGCTTGGTAGATCTGACCTGGGAAACACAGTTATTTTGAATTGGGGTTTTTGCCTCCAGTTTGCTTCTATATTTAGCTGTTAATTTTAATCCTTCCTTCTCTTTATTCATTATTTTTTAAAAAAATTCTAATAAGCCTACTTTTCTTTTTTTAATGAAGCTTATCTTAGTGTAAGCTCATTCACCTTAATGGAGGAACATTTCTAAGAAGAGTGAAATTTTCAAAAAGATTTCAAGTCACCGATCCATAGAGGGTCTTCCAGAGCAGAAGGGGAATAGCCCAATGCGGCACAGAAAAAAATCCCTGTGTACCCTAGCATTCCAGGTGTCACTCTTTCCCCGAGGCCCTGGCTAGCTGGTATATAATATTTGCTGCTGGCCAATAAAACAACAATGGAGAACATTAAGGGTTTCAATATATGTGAATTTTCCATAAAGTGAAGTTTAAAAAGTAAACTTTTACCACTGAAAACTTGAAAAGCTTTTCAAAGAATTTAGCCACTTGTGGATCATTCTCTTCATGAGATCCACTATATGTTTTGAGCTCTCTCTGGAGGGGACTAAATGCAATTTAATGTTCCCTTAATTTCTCAGTATTACTCATGGATACATATTATAGAATTTTTCTATAATGCAGTAATACATTGCATGGTATATAAGGCTATTAATTCTTAGATCAAATGGTCACATAATCACTGTTTATTTTTTATTTTTTAGTTTTATTTTTTTGAGATGGAGTCTTGCTCTGTCGCCCAGGCTGGAGTGCAATGGCACGCTCTTGGCTCACTGCAACCTCCACCTCCTGGATTCAAGTGATTCTCCTGCCTCAGCCTCCAGAGTAGCTGGGATTACAGGGGCCTGCCACCATGCCTGGCTAATTTTTGTAATTTTGGTAGAGATGGGGTTTCACCATGTTGGCCACGCTGGTCTTGAACTGCTGACCTCATGATCCACCCACCTCGGCCTCCCAAAGTGCTGGGATTACAAACGTGAGCCACTGCGCCCAGCCTTTTTTTAATTCTTGTATTATTTTTATAGGACTTTTTTTTTCCTCCTGTGTCCACCTTCCATATTGAAGAGTGACTTCTTTACTTACTGGTGTAGACAGTTTGCATATCTCTAATAACTTCCTTCAACCTCAACAACCTCTTCATGATTATTTTGTGCTGGGAGCAAGAACACCAGAAAATGAACAAGTTTATAAAAAATTATGGACGAATAAGAGGCAATAACTTTATCTGAGGGTCCAAGAGATTCTCTTATGAGAAACGTGCATGTGCCAAAGGACATAGACACAGTGACATCTATTTTGGGTGCTCAGGAGACACTTGGCTTGTGTCCAAGTTCTTAGTTGTGTTCTGTAGTAGAGGTTGCCATGGAAGTAGTTCTGGAATAAGTAATGTGTTACTGCATCTTATACAGAAAGTGTGGTTTGTTCTTTTTATAAAGTTACTGGAGGTGTGTGTCAAGGAATCAGTGACTAAACAAATCCCAAGAGGCATACCTAATATTAATCAAGCACTAAGTGTTTTATTTTAGTCCCATTCACAATCACGCTGTTCACATGCATGTCTAGCTGGGAAACAGCATAATAATGCTTTGTAGGAAAGAGAGAAAAGGAAAAAAATATTCATTTTCTGGTTTATTCAATTCTTCTGTGTGGAGATTATGCTTAAGAAAACAATGAATAAGGCAAGATTTATTTTCTCAGTGATTTTTCTGATTTCTTGAATGGCTTTCTAACTTACAAGTTCTTTTAAGCTGAAAAACACTACAAAGCAATTTTATAAACCATGTACAATGAATTAGTAGCACAATATATGACAATATGTGTTTTCTTCTAATATTTTTATATTGTGCATTTTAGAGCAAAACGAATCACTGATTTCTCAAAGATCTTGAAAATGATAGTAGTCACTTTTATTAATCTCACTCTACAAAAGAAAAAAACTGGATATATTACATACATTTATTAAGCTATAAGCTGAGTCCAGGGCAATTCTATGTTTCAACTTTAATTAGATTCCTTGGCTAAATACTTGATCATTTAACTTTATTTGGAATCACATTGTGAAGACTTTTGTATTAGAAGCTCATTTTTCTTTAATTTTTAAAAAAATACAAGTTTCACCTAGTCACTGTAGAAATTTTTCCTAAGTGTTAAAGCATCAGATGGTGTATATGACAAACTTTTCTGTTTGAAACAATGAATTAGAGACTGGCTTTTGTCTGCAATAATGAATTTGGGATATGCATATGTTTGTTAACTTTGTCTAAAACAATTCTCTAGGCCAGGCATGGTGATTCACACCTGTAATCCCAGCACTTTGGGAGGCCAAGGCGGACGAATCACTTGAGGTCAGGAGTTCGAGGGCAGCCTGGCCAACATGGTGAAACCCCATCTCTACTACAAAAAATAAAAAAATTAGCCAGGCACGGTGGCGCATGTCTGTAATCCCAGCTACCCGGGAGGCTGAGGTAGGAGCATCACTGCAACCTGGTAGGCGGAGGTTTCAGTGAGCCGAGATCACACCACTGCACTCCAATATGGGCAACAGAGTGAGATTCTATCTCAAAAAAAAAAAAAAAGAAAAAAAAAAGAAAAAAAAAACAATTGTCTAGAAATTGTGCTTATTTTTGCTTCCTACCTTCAGTTAGGTGGCATGACTTATTTTAAAATGAAATGTTATTCCAATTGAAACACCGCTGTTTTAAACTGAAAATATGCTATGTTAAGTCAATTCAGTAAAGCTTTTCCTCACTTGACTCCTCTTTCATTTTAATCGAAATTTAATTTTCGTGTTCATACCTAAATAGGAAATTCGACATACTAAAGAATATGTATTTTAAATTTAGAACTTTTGTACCATAAGACCTAAATTTAAAATTCCTGAAATGTCAGTGTCATTTTGAATACACGCTTAGGAAGACTTCGATTTAGAAAGATACTTTTCAAACCTGGAAAAGGAAACAACCATTTAAATGAATTAATGCATGTTAGCATTCACTGATAACACCTTATAAGGGTGCTTCTTAGTACAACCTTATGAGAATTCTCCAGAAGCCTCAGAATTCAGCCCCTTATAAACTAGAATTCAGTGAGCAAGATTTATGTTTCCCAAGGAACTGTCAAGCTTAGTGCTTTTGATTGTGTTCAGGGAAGAGAAGATATTGAGATTTCTGAAGTTGTTGAACAGAGAAAGAGATAAATGCTTTGTTCTTTGAAAAATCCACATTTAGTTCATTTTCAATTACAATCTCCCAGGGAAAAAAGATACTCAAACTGACTCAAGTATGTTCCTACATATTGGCCTTTGTTTAACATATTAAATTGGAGCTTCTGGACAGTTGAAGAGGTAATATGAATCCAAGGTTCTTTTTGTATTAATACATCTTAATCATGAAATAAATGTTTGTTGAATGACTATTACTTTCAAACCTTAATTTAAAAAGACATCGACAAATAAAATGATGTTAAAACTGCTATGTTTTATTTCATATTTGATTATTGGAGTATTTGTTACTTAGTATACTGCTGAATCATGCTAAAACATGAACAGTTCATTAAGCAAAGCCATTTAATAAATTCTGAAATTACTGTTAGCAAACAGTAATTTGGAACTGTAAATTGCCAGAAGAAAAAGCATCGGGTATCTACAGTCAATAATAATTCAGAAAGTGGAATTGGAGGACAAGAAGGTCTCAAGTGTTATTCTATAACCCCCCTCCTTTTCTTTTTTGGTTTTGTTTCTTTTGCTGTAGGTATTGTGGAAATTATTTGTTTTATATCAATCAGAACACTTTGAAAAAAAATTTTACTGTTGTGTATTCTTCCATTCTATGGTTATACTGTACATAATAGAACATGGCTCCTATTGTTGGGGACCTACATTGTTTCAGTGACTTCTGCTGTGAATAAAATTAGGATAAGCATTCTTTTACATATGACTTTGCTCATTTGATTATTTCAGAACTGAAATGACTTGGAAATTAGTGAGTCCTGATCACTTTTTTTTTTTTAAGAGTAGGAGAACTAGTCCTGAAATATCACTGATCTAGAACCTTGGCTTCCAAGCTTTCAGTCTAATATCTGTATCTAGCCAGAAGTAATGACTGAGTGACAAATACATAAGGGGGCAGGAAGTGAAAGCATAATTTCCTTCTGTCTGAGTAAGAGGTCAATCATGTACCCCATTCTCTGAAAATCCCCAGGGAGTGGAAGGGTTCTCATACTAAAGAAAACAGTCACGATTCCATGCCAGACTTTATTCTCAAGGAGTGATAAACATATGATAGCTATGGGAACATTTTTAAATAGCTGTCATTTTGTTAATGAGTATTTGCTAAAGCATTTCCTGGGCCACTGGTGTTTATGGAACTTTTAAACAAAATATTTATGAAGATGGAACCGGGACTTGCTTCATAAATTATGTCCTTTTACTTGCACCTTTGCTTTTCCTCACTGCACAACGATGTTCAGGCCTCTTCTACATGAAACAAACAAACAAATCTTCAGCCTTTTCAACCATGTTCTTTTTTCCTGGTGCCAAGAAAAATTTATATTTTTTGTTTCTTCTCCCTTGCCTCCCTCTGAGTTGATTGCCCTTTGCACTTTGGCATTATTTCTACCACAATATTGAAATGACCTCTCAGAGGTTGCTCATGATGGCTGAATTAACAGTTAAATTCAACAGCTTTTTATCTCTGTCTTCACCTTCTGTTCTTTCTGCCATCTATACTGTTTACCCTCATGCTCTTCTTGAAATAGTTCTGTCTTTTGATATTAGAGATCTTGTAGAGATCTAGTGCATAGCCTATGGCTCTGCCCCTCTCCTAGGCTTTTTTTTTTCTTCCCTCTTGTTAGAGGGCTCCTGTTTTCTTCCCACCTTCTTGGTTTCAGTGTCTGTGTTTATTTTGTTTTCTCTCTTAGTCTTTCTTCCTTGGAAAATTTCATATAGGCCTATGGCTTCATCTTAAAGCTCAATGTGGATATCTGATCAGCAAAGCCTCTTCCACCCTTTGTGCGAGTTGTAACAAACGTCCCCTTCCTCCAGATGCACAATGCTCGCATCAGGATCTTCAGCTTGGCAGCAAACTGAGCTGGATTTCAGCCCCTGCTCAGCCTGCACAACCTCAGACAGTTGCCCTGCTGGTCAGGGCCTCCTATTCAATGCTGTCTATGGTATTCCAGTGCTTCAAACTCCATGTCTTTCCCTCAGTCAAACTAGCCTTCCATCTTTCATCTCCTCCATCACTTTTTATACAACCAGGTGCCAATTAGAATTTTAGCAACCATTTCCTTGGCATTTTTCCTTTTTATTTCCATGGCCACATTCTTGCTCAGAATTTAATTCCCTCTTGTTAGCCTACTGTCCCCGCCCCAATCCTTTTCTACTACAGTCTATCCTCTATACATTTGGCAATTTGAAGATGATTATATATCTCTATCTATCTATCTATCTATCTATCTATCTATCTATCTATCTATCTATCTATCTCTCTATCTCTCTATCTGCTTTCCTATCTAGATATAGACACATAAATATAGATAGATATAATTATACCCCCCAACTTTTCAATGAGTCCTTAGCAGATGGACAGAAGCAGAGGCTGTAAAGTTGAATTTCAGAATTTGAGGTCCAGCTTTGGTGCATTCACGTGTGTCATCCTGTGTGTTACTCAGTTTCAGGGTGTCAATAATGAATAACCTATGTCAAAACCTTCTATGTGCCAGCCACAGTGCTCTGAGCATTTCCCATATATTGTTCATTCAGCACTCAAAAGAAAACATTTTGTTCTGTTTGTACTAGACATTATAAAAATGGAATCAAATTTATCTTAAAGAGACTGCTTTATTCTCTGAGTTCAATTTGGGTTTTGAAGAAGTCTACAGTAAAGTTAAATTCAGATAATACCAATGGTCTTGGCCCGATTGCAAGTGGTGGTAAAACAAAGGCAAGTGAGTATTATATTTTATTTTGAGATAAAATCATCTCCTTGTTCTGTTTTTGTTGTTGTTGTTGTTATTTTGTTTTGTTTTGTTTTTTTAAGAAAGAGCAGCAAGAAAAGTAAAACAGATTTTTTTTCTTTTTAACAATTACAAACTACATAACGCAAATAAACACTTTCCTTTGTTCAATGCTTATATGTGGTTTTCTTTATTTATTCTTAGTGTCACAAAACAAGCAACTGGAGTAGCCAGAAACCTATCCCACATTTTTTGACACCAGGCTGCCTCATTTGCCAGAATACTGTCCTTTCTTTCAATTTAAGAATCCATCAGTGCCGTTGTCAAATTTAAGTGGAAATACTTCAAAGTAATGACTAAGGGTCTTCAGACATGTGCCAGGAATATTATTTTGCTATAACTGCTACCCTAGAGTCATAAATTAATTTTCCAGAGTGACACCTCCTTGTCACTTTGGGAAGATAAAGTGACCATCATTTCTTATACCCAGTATGGGTTTTTGGAAGGCTGTTGTTAGTGTTTCTTCTAATGCTTCTCTCAGAGACCACTACTACCTTTTTTTTTTATTTCTGTAAAAGGACTTAGGCTTTTTCTTAACATCTATGGCCTATTTCATTTCCTTAATTAACTAATTACTTATAAATGGAAGTTGCATAAGTCATACAATTGGGAAGTTGGATGGGATCTTAATGATCTCGTAATTAACCCCCACATATTTCTCTAATGACCAAAACTGTCCAAACTAAGTTAAGAACTTATCAATAATCACATAGCAACTCTAGAATGTGTTTCCTCATTAAGAACCTGCAGCCATACTGGCAACTTCTTGGAGTATTAATTCCATTGCAAAGTCTCAAACCTGCAGCAGAAATAAACCTGAGGCTTCTCTTCCTTTCTCTCTTCATCTTTGGCTGTCAGCAGGAATAACATCTTAGAAATCCATCCTCTTTCATTCATAGGAGCTACTTTTTAGTAGGGGAAGCCTTCCACACAATGTTTTCTTGACTTTGAACTTCTGTAGCTCTTGAAATGGGAATTAGTGGCATACATAACAAATAAAATAATAAAATATTTATGAATCGCCCCCAAAGTGCAGCTCCCAATGCTCCACAGTATTCTCTGAAGTAAAGCAAATCTTTGTGTCAGAGATATGCATTTCAAAAAGTATTAACATGATATTGTGGCAGTTTTATAATATGAAGTACTGTATCTCTTATGAACACACACACACAGAGATATTGGGGGAAATTGTTTGGGACAACAAACCCAATTAGAGTAAATGTTGAATGCTTCCCTTCTTCCTTCCCCTCAGGCTTGTCACTAACTCTGCCCACTTTCTCATATACATGGCTGGCTTCAGCATTTCTGTACTTTCTCACCTTTGTATGGTTTGCCACATGCAGGTGGTTTTTCAGCCCAGAGAAGTTTTCCCAGTTCTTGTTTTTCTGGAATCATTACTTCTGAATCACTTTACTTCATCCCTCCTCTTTCAAAACTTTGCTGTGACTTTCAGCACTTCACATTTTGACTTCTTACTAACCAGTCCATTCAAGCTCAGCTGGACTGTAAGCTCTTTGAGGGCAGGGGCTTTGTCTTACATATTTGTCTGAGCACAGTGTTTCACCCACAAATCCCAAATTTTGGGGTCCAGTATTGCTCTGGTCTTGTTACAAATGTGGACATATCCTCTGTGAGAATGTGCTGACAGATTGCCCGGCCTGTCGCAGTGGACATTTAATTAAGTGACTGGAAAGTTAAAAGACACTAACAAGAGGATATGAGCTTGCTTTTCTTCCCTTTTGGTAAAATATTCCAGGCCTTTGCTCTCCATATATTTCATTTCTTATTTGCTCAGATTTCATAATAAAGCAGATGACCATTCAGGTGACTCATTCAACTTTGTTTATCTTAGATTCTTCACCATTTGTTGGAGTTTCAGCAGTTGTGCTTCACATGATGGGGACTTAGACTCAATGCTGACATTTGAGAGATATTTTGAGATGTTAGCTCGTGGTCTACCTCCTTGCATTTGGCTTTGCTCCAATCCCATTTATTTTGTGACAAATATTGCCTAAGAAAAGGGATAATTCAAAAAAAAGTGTTTTGGATTTTTTGTTTGTAACAGCTTTTGAGTTTCAAAAAAATCTAACTCCATAAGGACTCAGGGTTCAAATTTTAAATTATAATGACAACAACAAAATAAAACAGATTTCTTTACCCTACCACTAAGAGCAAATAATGCAGATATTAATAATTTTCATGGTAATGGAGCCAAAGGCAGAATCAGAGGAGATACAAAGAGACATCAGGTTCTTGAGGGGTGGCAGGATCCTAAGTGCTCCAAGTTCTGCCACACCATGCTGGGTACTCCCTGAGCTGAGTACATGGGGGACAGAACTGAAAACCCAGATCACACTGGGAAAATCTAAGAGCAAAGGAACCTGTAGATCACTTCCCATGTAAAGTGCATGAAGGCTGCAAAACTTGAATCACTTTTTAGTGCCCTGCATAGTGCCAGGTCATTAGAAATGGGTGTCTAAGAAGATGTGTCCAAAACAGCCTCCCAGGTTAACCCCATGCCCTAAATGCAGCCAAGAAAGGAAGAGAAGGAGTGGTGAGAGAGACAAATCCAGAGAAGCCCAAACGTAGCCACAGGGTCTGTGGACTTAAGCCTAGGAACACACAGGGATGAGGAAGCCAGTATATCAGAGATGCCTATGTGCGCAGGAGATGATGACCACAGACCAGATTCCCCCTCATCCCCACCCAGGACATGTAACTCTCTCTGTTCCTGACATCAGATGATATAAAGAAAGTAAGTTAATCAAAATTAAGTTTCAGCCACCTGGCAATATAAAAAAATAAGGAAGTTATGTCTTATACACCTGGTTTTATAGACTAACATCTATTCCTTCTACACAAATTATATTTTAAACTTAAACCAATCATTTTTAGCTATCTATTTTGCTATTAAAAATTTTGGTTGGTAATAATGGTTTATAATCTTATCGAAAGTGTAAAGTATACTTTATTTTTTTGAAGCTGGAGGGATTTCAAAGCTTGAAATACGAAGTGTAGGATTTGACCTGGTTAGGTCTTGACCATAGAGGTGAGAGGATTAGGGAATAATAAAGTAATCTTACAGGAGAATCTCCACTTTAGACGGTTTAATAGAGCTTCAGATTTTAGTTTATATTTCATACAAATTCTGGTCTCTAAGGATCACAAACATTTATTATCTTTCCACTCCTTACCAGTGTTATCTTAAGTGACACAAAGCAAATGCAGAAATTTTCATAAATCACTCAAAAGGATTGTTGCTTGGCTGAAAGTGCCTTATAAACTGAGCCCATACTGGTAATGAGTGATCTTTTCCCAAGTTCTTAAAGTACAGCTAAGATTCCCAGAAAGTAACACCCGTTCTAAGATATGGGCTCCATTGAGATCAAGGACAGAAAGGAAAATTACTTCTGTTTTCTCGAGGATGTGGCATAATAAGAAATACATATTTGGCCTTTGTTCCTTTCTCCTGGGACACAGCTTTCAAAATCCATGGAATCTCTAGAGTGATGAGAGTGTCTTTTGTATGCTAATGAGATGACTTGTGGCTGGAGCCCCTAGATAGCTCCAGCATAGGGTCTGGTCTCCAGAAAGGCCAAGGCACAATTAGAATGTTGGAACTTTCAGTCCCAGCACTCAACCTCCAGAGGCAGGAGAGGGGCTGAAGTCTGAGTTAATTACCCTTGGTCAATAATTTACTTAATCATGCCTATGTAATGGAACCTCCATTAAAAAAAAAAAAAAAAAAGATGGGATTTTGGAGAGCACCTGTGTTGGTGAACACATCAAGATTCAAAGAGATGCATGCCCATAAATGGCATAGAAACTCTACAGAGAATCAAAGAAAAGGCAATACTAAACAGATCAGGCAGACTTTTTCTTTTTCTTTTTTTTTAAAGAGAGAATCAGTCCGCAGGTTGGCTGGAGTTCAGGGATAAAACTCTTCTTAAGAGTGAAATGGCAAGAAAGATTCAGGCTCATCGAGCACTGGGAATTAGATAGGAACAGAGACACCAAAAAAGCAAAAACTCAACTTATAATAGAACCAACATCTGATGCTACAGAGTATGAAGAAAAACTGAGTTGGCAGTGAGAGCCAAGTGGTAGTACAGAAAAGCGTATTATATTGCAAACCTATAGAGAATGTCAGGTATTCTTCAGGGCTACCCTGTTCTGGACTTTTGACATTCGTGGTAAACTGCCAGAAGGTCTTAGGGGAATGGAGAAGTTGATGCCAACCGTTCCAGTGCATTCACTGTAGAAACTATTGCTGGAGATTATGATTGCCTTCTCCTCGAGAGACAATGCTAAGGATATACTAGAATCTTCTTGAGAAGTCCTACTCAACCATCAGTATGATATTTTGTCTTCTAAGACTATTGGATTTTTGTATCTCCTTGCTTTAAGATCTAAGTAAGAATGTTTCATTAGTCATTGCTTACGTTTCTGGACTGTCTTCCAATGCCCTGACTTTACATATCCTTTCCTCTTTTCTTCTCTCAATAAAGCTGTGTACATTACAATTTTTTTTATTAGGTGCAGAAATCACTTGAAGAACTTAAAATGCAAATTTCTAGGCCCTATGCCCAAAGTATCTGATTCAACTAATCTGATATGGGGCCCCAGAATATGCATTTTAACAAAAACTCCAGGTGATTATGGCACAGGTGGTCCATGGACCACACTTTGGAAAGCACTGCTTTAAGTCATCTAAATGCCTTGGGAAGTTGACAATTTACTAGCTGTATTATACCTCTCGGACTGTCTCTTGCATCCCATGTAGCACACAAATCATTCTTTTTCACACCATATCTTGATTTGAAGCTCTGAAAATGGTTCCAATAACTGTATCTTGCACCAAAACATTGAGAATTTTAGGTTCCAATTTATAATTCAAGATACAATCAATCTTGAAAACAATCATTTGTCTGTCTTTAGTTTTATTGTCTCTAAGATTTTAAGGGAAACTTATTTTTATTGAAATTTACACTCATTCTGAGATATGAAAATGGTTTCAATTTATACCTGAAATACAAGATTATATCCTTTTGCTCTTCCCAGAGTAAAAAATCTCTCCTTCACATTTATTAGAGAACTGTTCTTTCAACCACAAGCATAAAGACAGACTCTTGGTAGGAGTTAAAAAGGACTATTTGGGATATTTACAGTGTCTCTTTAGAACTGGAAGCTGGACAACAAGTAGTCATCACATATGGGAAAGATTTACATTGCCTGAGTGGGCTCAAGTTTGATGTAGTATAAATGGTATTTTCAAATGCTTAGTTCTCCAGATTTTCCATGGCTACAGTATATGCTCTTGTCTCTACTGAGAAATATGCTAGTCTAGGGAATATTGAATAAGCATTCTTCCAGGCAGTGTAGTCATAGCCTTTTGTTTTCAGCCAAGTTTAGTGTGACTGTTTCACATATGATTTTCCTCTTCATGAACTACATTGGAAAAAATTAAAACCTTGTCTAAAAATAAATATATCAGGCTTTTACCCATTAATCAGTAAACATTTATTGTCACTAAGGTCTGTAAGAACTAAATAGTAGGCTTATGCAGCAGATTGAGAATCCAATGCTAGTCAAAACCTGTTGTGTCCTTCCCCTTTTTAACCAAACAAAGAAATAAAGAATCACAGAAAGGGAAGAACTCCATTAAATGGCGTATGAGGGCAGCTGCCTGAAAAAGTAGGTAGGGTTAGAACTAAATGTCCATATTGTGGGCATCTGCATAGGCCTTTTATATTTTTGTTTTTCAGAATGAACTTATCATCAATGTGTTCAGTGTTATAAATTCTGATACTATAACATATTCAGATTGAGCAAGAAGGCATATTTAACGGCAAAGATAAGAGGTACAAACGTAAAATATTGCTCTCTACTAAGTGATTAAGATTTGAAAAGTGACACCAGGAAAGAAATTGTATGTGTTAAAATACCAAGATAGTTATGAAAGGTATTCACCAAATATTTCCACCTCTCTTCTCTCCAGGCACGAAAGAGAGTTATATCAATTATATCTCTCCCCTCCTTTAAAGTTAGTCATGGCCAGATAACTTGCTTTGACCAATGAAGAATGAGCAGAAGTGATGTGTCCCACTTCCATGTAGAAGATTTAGGTGCAATGATTGGGGTCATCGTGTGCCCTTCCAATGGCTATGGGATCATGGAAGCACATATTGAGGTGCTTGAGTGACTATGATGAGCTAAGGACTCTGCTGACCCACATTGGACTGGTATAAGTCAGAAATAATCTTTGTTGTAGAACTGCTTGTTAGTGCAGCATAATTTAGCCTATCTTGAGTAGTACAAATGCGGACATGGAGGCAAAAAAAATTTCAAATGTTTTGATAGGAAATGGGAATTTCCCAAGTAAAGGTGGAGGTGGTCAGTAGTGTCCAGTTGTGCATTGTGTATCCTTTAATGGAGCTCAAGAGCCAGCCTAATGAAAAGAACTGTGCTTTTTAGTTAAATTATGTGGTCAGGTTTGAGTTACAAGGAAGCAAAAACGATACTGAAAAATTTGTGTTCTTGAAGATGTATAGTAGAGAGCAGAAATATACAACAAAACTGTCAATGATGACATTTGAATATTGATAATGGGAACAAATGGGGTGGCAATTCTAATTTGTCCTAACAATCAGGCTTTTTTTTAAATGAGCTTGAAGCAATTTAGTAATCAATAATACAAATATGGGAAAATATAATGTCATACTCCAATAAAAATCTAAACTTTTGACGGTTTTAAAAACTATATTTCAAATAAAACATGATTGTCAGGATTAAGAGAATTCAGAATATACTGGTCCTGAAGAAACATCCTAAAATCAAGGCCAAGGAAGAAAAATGGAGTATCCCGTGTTACCAATATAAAAGCCAAGCCACACATGTTCTACTCATAGCACAAACTGCTTTAAAGAAACATGGCTCAGTAACAATAAATATTTTCTTTAATCCAGTGAAGTTTCTTGGACTATATTAGAACATGTTACAATTCTGAATTTATTGCAATAGCTCTTAAAATTTTTTTCATTTCTTGCATTTGTCCTCATAGCTTATCTGAACCCTCAAAAAAAAATGTTTCCCTGAAATCCAGCCTATGGACTCTCCTTTTCCTTTCTTAAAAAAACATTTTTCTTACTTCAGGCAATTTCTCTCCTTGATTGTCTCAGCTCTCTCTACACACATTTTCTCAGTTTGGCTTTATTTTCTCAGGAAATATCTGATCACAAAGATCCAGTATAGTTCCTGTTTTAGAAATCTGAGATCATCAAGTTGATTTATTGTAGTACAGTTTGAAGCTCTGTCAGATCTTATTGTAAAGCACCACTGAAGAACATCAACAAATTGCACCCATCAACTAATACTTGGACTTGTTTTAACTCCCTGTCATTATTTAATTAGGCTCAAAAATGTCACTGTATGCAGAGAATCCATTGTTTTTCAGTACTGAAGAAATTCTTGTTGAAATAGGGTAATATTTTTTCTGGCATCATAAATTAAAGACAATAAGATAAATAGAGAGTTGACAGATATAAGAGAAGCAAAGTTAGTTTCCAGTTATATAACACCAATAAATTTTTTAAATGAAATTTTGTGTTAGCAGGAGGTCATAAATGTTAAAGCACACACCATTCACTACCCTCTACCTGTAGAAACATGAAGTAGCATGGAATTTATTGGCTTTAGGTTTGTCTAAATAGTAAGCTTAATGCACATATTTGAGTCTGAAGTAACTCTAAAATGTATATTTCGAAAAACTCCAGTGATAATTCAAACGGCTCATTTACGACAAGCTTTTGTGATAAAGAATCCTTAAAGAAACAAAGTTAAGCATGTCTTTTGCTTCTAGATCTTAAAAGATTTTTTCTTAGAGATGTCTGCTTTGATTTCTGGCCATGGTTTTGAAATAGTGGGGCTGGTAAGTTACTAAGCTCCTAAAACATAGCCTGAAAAAAATGAAAACAGGGCAAGTAGAAATTTCAAACCTTATTTCCCACAGAATATTCAAAGAATAGGATAATCCTGCCTGTTTTAGTTCTATTTATGGCATCTGGCAAACTCTGTCATCACATTATATTTTTAAACATGTCTTAAAAGTTTTAAAATGATGACCCTCATTTTGTGTATACTCTTTTTTTAAAATCTCAGATAAAATATGTGAGGGAATGAGATTAGAGTATTTCCTGTCACAAAAATAGAATGTTCTTATGTGTACATAGAAAAGAAAATATAAGTAGTCCCTAAGTGTGTTTTCCTTCATACTTATCCACTGCTCATGGCACACCACATGTTGCCAAAAACACACACACAAGAAGCAGTGCCTTCTTTTTGATTATTTGTGATTCATTGTAAGCATAATATAAGAAAAGGAAACAGCAAAATTCTGGGGATATAAATAGAACAGTTTTTAAGAGAATTTACTAAGGCATCACCTGAGAAGAAAGTTTTGTGATTTATTTAAGAGTATGAAGCAGTGACTAAGAAGAGTTGTCATACAACTTGCTATTTTCTTTTGGGAACAGTATTTCTCATGCTCAGAGGAAATGGCTTAATCAAACAATCCAAATATATTAATATATCATAGAGAGGGATAAAACTATATATTCTGGAACTCTGAGGGACAAAATTCTTTGTACTATATCTTTATTTTTAACAGAAGGGTCTATTTTCTATTACCATTTCTGCTATTTGTAAGAGTAGTTTCCAACAGCCGAATGGGGGCTGTGTAAAGCCATTATAATGCAGTTTACATCTGTCAAAAGGATATCTGAATTCCATTGAAATACTAAAGTGGTAGAGTGAAACAGAGATGTTATATGCCACTGAAGATTATTTTTCTAAAGTTTTCAGAACACTTTTTGTAATATTATTAAGCCAGTGACATGATCAATGATGTGTACAAAGGGAGAAAGAATACTTCCCAAATATAATTGTATACAATGCTTTTTAAATATCCTTTCATCTTCAAAGTGTTACTGCATATTCTTTTTTATTTTTTTTCGAGACAGAGTCTCACCTTGACCCCCAGGCTGGAGTGCAGTGGCATGATCTTGGCTCACTGCAACCTCCGCTTCCTGGGTTCAAGAAATTCTCCTCCCTCAGCCTCCCGAGTGGCCAGGATTACAGGCATGCGCCACCACACCTGGCTAATGTTTGTATTTTCAGTAGAGACAGGGTTTCGCCATGTTGGCCAGGCTGGTCTTGAACTCCTGACCTCGTGATCTGCCCACCTCTGCCTCCCAAAGTGCTAGGATTACAGGGGAGAGCCACTGCACCCGACCTGCAAATCCTTTTATTTAAACATTAGCTTCAACATATTTTAGACAATTTCAATTATGTGACTTTTGAATGAGTAACACTGAGCCTGCAGCCATGCAGGCACTCTCTTTTCATCTGCACTGGTTGGTGTGACATTGTTCTGCAGCTGATGAAATAAAGGTCCACCCTCTTGTACCTCTTGGGTTATCCCCCTTAAACAACAGCTTGAGAAGTATAATGACTGGGGAAAAGGAATAATGTTTACTCAGCAAAGATCCTTTTCGGAATTCGTAGATAATCTCCAGTGCCAAGGAAGTCCCTCCAGGAAAACAGAGGAATATTACCTCTCACCACCATGCTTCTTCCATTCCATGTTACAGTATTGCCTACTTCAACACTTTCAAAACTGGCATCAGTCTCAGAACTGATGTGTGCATGGATATAGAAATTTATACAAAGTTCATACATAGGAATTAATGTTATTCCTGAGGCAAGAAAATACAGTAATAATCTAATGGCCTTTTCTTCATCATTCTCTCTGTGTTGGCTCTATTTTCTATTCCCTTCCTTTTTCTCCCTCTGGAATGCAATATGGTGTATTGGTTGTAGATTCCAGCATAATAGAGTTGACACCCTGCTTGTTTGGGTTTTTGTCAATGGTTCTTTAAGTTTTAAAATATTATTGATCTGACTTTAGTGGCAAATTCTACCTAGAATATTTTTCTTGTCATTTTAATTATTTGGAAATTTGTAGATAAGTGACAATTATTAAATACTCATATCCAAATTATGGGGGTCCTTCTTGTATTTTGGCAATCAGAATCTGGAACAAGACTCTTTATTTGTATGTTATTTTCTCACTTGGATAGTATCTTTGAGAGACCTTACAGATTTTGTTATTTTGTAATTTTAACATGACCACACAATTTATGTCTCTTCCTCAAATAGGGGAGATATTTTCAGTTAATGTAATATGGTAAAAAAAAAATTAAGCTAAGAGCAAACACAAAATAATAAAAACACAAAGCCAAAACTAAAAGTAACTTGTAGTATTTCTTTGCTTAAGGATACACAGCTTATTGTACTTGTATCTTATTAATATATTAAATCTTCCCTCACTCATTCACACATGCTCAACTTGACTCATTCACACATGTTAATATTGGATAGTCTCTGGATCAATATAGGTGCATTAACTGCTTAATGTTTGATTGCATTGATTCACCATCACAGAGTTCCCAGAATTCCCTGGAAGAAGGGCTGTTCCCTGGATGTGGGAAGGTATGCTGCATGAAACATGTCCCTCATAATATTAGGTTGGTGCAAAAGTTATCACAGTTTTTGCCATTAAAAGTAATAGTAAAAACCGTGATTACTTTTGCACCAACCTATACATTCTTGTATCAGAGTTGTGAAATTTACCCACAGTTTAGTTTTATACCTACTACACACACACACACACTCACACACACATATATACAATTTAGAGAAAATTCCAAGTTATCATTATAATATTATTCCTAAGTAGCTGAGAAAAAAGTTTGCTAGAATTTGAATTTTTGTTAACAGTGTTTGAATATCAAGTCTATCTTTAAAAAATATGGGGCTTTCTAAAATAATTTTCTCTACATTAGCCTTCCTATTAATTTAATGCATCTCAGTTGTATCAGAACTTTTCTAGTTCTAGTTACAAAAACTCAACTCAAGCCAACATCAGCAAAAAAATGGAATTTATTAGAACATAAAATTGAGAAGTCCAAGGGAAGATCAGCCTTCAGGCATGGCGTATCAATCTGGGTCCAATCAGGAGAGAGAAACCGCATAGTAATTTGAACAGGGACAGTTTAATATAAAGAATGATTAACTATTACAGGGAATTAGAGTATGCAGGGATTGGCTAATAAGTAAAAAGTACTCTAAAGAATATAAGAATAGCAGATCTAAGGAGCAGCCACTACTTCTGTCGGGGGGAATTGAGCACCCAAGGAAAAGCTCATACCCGAGGCTGAGATCCAGAGCTCTCTGGAGACGCTATGGCCTTGACTCACTAGACCTCACGGTGGTGCTGTGCCCATAGAATTTTCTGCCAAGTCCTCCTTCATTTCATGCTTGAAATTAGCCCTCCAGAGTGCCAGAAAAATTCATGTGGAGGTATCTCACTAGAGGACTCTGCTACGAAACTGCTTTGTGAGGAGGGACTGCAGAAGCTGGGCACTGAGGAAGGTGTGTACACTGGAGGGGCTGGGTGCTGGAGAAGCTGCCTGTGCTGCAGGAGCCTGCGGAGCCAGCATACAGGCTCTAGGAAGCAAAATCCCATTTTCTTCTGCAGTGTCTCTCTATCGCCCTCTACTGATGATAGAGTTTAGCATGGTAGCAGCTGGGAAAGGAAAAAAAATTTTTTTTGTTTTTTTTTTTGTTTTTGTTTTTGTTTTTTGAGATGAGTCTTGCTCTGTTGCCCAGGCTGGAGTGCAGTGGCGCAATCTCGGCTCACTGCAAGCTCCGCCTCCCGGGTTCACGCCATTCTCCTGCCTCAGCCTCCCCAGCAGCTGGGACTACAGGCGCCCGCCACCACGCCCAGCTAATTTTTTTGTATTTTTAGTAGAGACAGGATTTCACCGTGTTAGCCAGGATGGTCTCAATCTCCTGACCTTGTGATCCACCCGCCTCGGCCTCCCAAAGTGCTGGGATTACAGGCGTGAGCCACTGCGCCCGGCCGGCAAAGGAAACATTTTTAAAGGGACATATCCATTTTCACAGAGCAGGCAAAAGGATTAATTTATAGCTAAGGTGGACTGATCTAAATATTCAAATGATGTTAGCAGGATTTGCTTTTTCTCCATTTCTCAGCATTGCTTTCTTCTGGGTAGTTTCATTCTAGGCTGGCTGCCTCCATATTATGGTATGAAGAATTCAGCAGAACAAAATTTCTCTTCTTGTCAATTGTCACAAAAATCCCAGAAGTTAGTATGTTGACTCTAATTAGCCTGAATTGTGCCACATGGCATCCCCAAAGCCAGAAGATGTGTTATTATTTTTGACCTCATTAGATATTATGCTTTCCCAACCCTGCCCTCCTCAGAATGCCATTATCAGACTAAAGTAATTATTTCGGAGGGGAAAGGAGGGGGGCAAAACAACCTTGAATAAATAGAGACACAATATCTGAAGAGCAAAACTACAGAATTTACTGCATGCCTTAAATGCCTTATATCCTGTTGGGCTTTATTTTTAAAATCATTTTACAAGGTTCTAGATCATAAAAGGAAATTAAAGTCATCCAGCTTAGTCAAATCCCTTGAGTTTACTACTAAAAAAGGAAATTCAATGTTTGTGGTTTCAAACCTAGAATTTCTGTTAAAACTGAATCAAAAAGTTGCAAGATATAACTTCTTTTTTAATGATGAGGGGCCCCATCTACTTAACTAAACATATTCCCCGAGCAATAGTGGTATGCCTGTGTCATCTGATATAACTCAACAATTTGGATGGAACCCAAGGCATTATGCTCAGTGAAAAGCATATCTCAAATGGCAACCTACAGAATGATTACATTTCATATAAAATTCTTAGAAATGGCAGAATTATAGTGATGGAGAACTAATCTGTGAGTGCCAAGAGTTGGGACTGGGGAGAGAGTGTGACTATAAAGGAGCAAGAAGGAGCTTTTTGGAGTGATCAGACAGTTGTGTGTCCTGATTACCATAGTGGTTTCACAAATCAATATGTATGACAAAATTCCACAGGACTGTACACCTCCCCACAATGCAAAAAACATGAGTGCATGTAAAAACTTGCAAAACTCCAATAAGGTCTGAGTTTAGTTAATAGTATTGTGCAAGTGTGAATTATGTAATACTGGTTTTGCTCATTTTACTATAGTTTCCAAAGATGTTATCTGTAGGGGAAGCTACCGAAGTTACAGAATAAATTTTTGTACTATTTTTGCAACTTCTAAATGAGGGTAAAATTATTTCAAAATAAAGTTGGCAAAAATGATAGTTAAAAATTGTAGCAAATTGAGGGAGATTTTCTGGTAAGAATCGGGAAACAAAGTTCTTTTTAATTTTTTGATTTTTTCATAGCAAACAAAAAAGTATTAATAATTAGCTTGGATATAGAAGAAATAAAATGGGTGCTTACACTATTCTAAAAATGAAAGATATTTTAATAATATTAGGCTTTAAAAGCAAAGAAAACAATTACAAAAATGCATGCAAATAAAGAGGACAGAAAATTAGAAAATTAGTATGAACCACCCTATGGTACTGAAGTCAGAGATATTAACATGGAATAATTTTTTAAAATATATGCTGAGAATTGTATGTGTGCACATGAATTAGCATAACATGCATATATTTCCTAGCTGTATACACTGAGAGAGGCTGCAAAGTGTGAGGCCCCAGTAACAGTGAGCACACTTAATGTCCAGATTTTGGTTTCTAAACATCATCTTTCAAAAAACAATAACTAGAATGCCTTGGAGAGTTCATTGATTCCAGGGCAGGTGCAGAGAATCTGGGACACCTTGTGTACCAGATTTTAAGGATTTGCTAAGAAAAAAAAACAAAAAACAAAAACAGTGGCATATTGAAAGGGCCCACTAACCAACTTGAAAGAGCTTCTAATGTTCAAAGTGGGAATAATTTGAGCAAGGAAAGAAAGATAGTATCAGATTATAACCCAAGGACTATGATAAAATTACATGAGTCTATACTAATAGAAATAAATTACTGAAAAATTTTAAATGAGGTAGAAGTGAATATTCTTTCTTATAGAAAATTCCAAATCACAAATATCCAAAGAATAAGGAATATAGAAATCACTCTAAAAATAATAATTGCTACAGGAAAATCTATCTATGAATGCTAAAATTGGTGGGCATAATTTGAAGTGGAACCAGTAAATTTGCATAGACTCCAAGTATCTCTTTTCAAATATTTAATAACTATAAAGAGAAAGATGCAGCTTTTAATGCAGAATCCTGGCAGCATCACTTAGCCAAGTGATCAAAGTTAATACTACTGGTAATATACTGATATCACGTGCCTCTTGAGTGACCTACTGAGAGGTCACATCCTCTCTGTGTCATCATTTCTAATAATGTGTAACCTCAATCTGATGATGAGAAAACATCAGACAAACTCAAATTCAGGGGCAGTCTACAAAATCACAGACTAGTCATCTTCAAAAATGTCAAAGTCATAAATGGCAAAGACAGGAATTGTCACAGATTGGAGAAGACTAAAGAGACATAAAAACTAAATGCAGCATGAGATCTTCAATTGGATCCAGGAACATGACAAGTAAAAAGCTGGTGAAAGCAAAGTAATCTCTGTAGTGTAGTTTATAATACTGTACCAAAATTAATTGCTTAATTTGGATAATTGTATCAAGGATATGTGAGATATTAACACAAGATAAAGCTGGGTGAAGAGTATACAGGAACTCTATTATATTACCTTTGCAACTCTTCTCTAAGTCTAAAATTATTTCAAAATTTGTAAAGCTTAAAGAGAAAAATGTTTCCCAGGTTATTGTGACAATGAATCGGGCTTGAGAATCACTGTGCTGATGATTGGTGACTGAGTTTCCTCCAGCTCTTTGCTCTTGTACCAGAGAGTAGAATTGCTCAGATAGAGCAAAGCAGAAAATAGGTCCCAGGCTGAATGAAATAGGGCCCAAATGGTAAAATAGCAAAATCTTAAACCATTGCTGGACATAAGGTAGGAATTAAGAAGAAGAACAGGAGGAGGAAAAGGAGGAAGAAGAGGAGAGAGGGGGAAGGGAAGGAAGAGGAAGAAGAAAAGGGAGAGAAGGAAAGGAGGAAGAGAAAGAAGAAAAAAGAGGAGGAGGAAAATATGCTCAAAGAAACTTCTGAATAAAACTTAATTATTAGAATACAAATCTTATTTCATTAAGCCATATCAAAAGGCTGGAACAATTTCTGCTGCATAGCAACTGAAACAGTCTACATTGAAACAATGCTTATAACCATGTGGCCCTCTGCTAAATGCTGGGAATTTTAAAAATGTTAATGTTTGCCTTATATATTATTCAAGAACATTTTAGCACAAGTAGTTTATTTCCTAGATATTCATAAGATAAATATATGCAGCTTGCATACTATTTTCAGTTGAAAGTTCTCAATAGGAGAAAAAGATCATTCATATTAAGAAATCATTCAAATTAAAGCGTCCTTTTTTAAGTTAAATACATAAAAACACAAAACGTTTTTAGTTAAATACATAAAAACACAAAGCTTGGTACGGCTCTAAGATGAACACAACATATGCCTCAAATGTGAACTATGGATGGTTATGTCTCAGTTATTAATAGTCATTTTAAACTATCTATAGTTTTATATTTTTTATCCTTTTTTTGTTCAAGTATAGCAATTTTAAAGTGCATTAAAAATAACAGTATAATTAGGTGATAAATTTGCTAAACCTATATCCTACTTTTTACTCAGATTCTCCTATTATAATGCCCACCAGATTAGTAGAAGGGTCTGTGCCCTACAAATAGTGCTTTATGTTGTATGATTAGGAAATATTAAATGAAAAATATTGATAACTATATTTCAAGTGTGGTCTAAGTCTAAATTAGGTAAAAGCCTGGGAAAAGTTATCAAGTCTTGCTGTACTTACTTAAATATTATATAACATTTTTCATATACTTGTAATATGATATAAGGCTTCTCTTCCATATGGTTGGTCAGTTGCTCTGCTACAGGAATTTTCTTTCCAAGTAAAAATTGAAATATGTATATTTACAGTGTCATCCCTTGGGCATATGTATAGATGGTGTCTTATGAGATTCCCTAAGTAAAATAGGAGTAACTGAAGTGGATTGCTGAGACTGTTACATTTCTCTGTACTTTAGAAATCATATGAAAATTATATAACTGTTCCCTGTAGATCAAACCATGTGCTTGTGTAGGCAGCAGCTACTTATTCCAACAAAACACGGCTTGTGATCCCCCTTGGGAAGTGAGCCGGCCATCTCAGGCAGGCATTCCTTCCCTGGCAATATGTTAGCCAGACATGGTGAACCCATTATTAATGCATCCATGTATGATAGGTGTATTTACATTATTCAAGCTCAAGAGAATGATGGAGAAGACCACAGCTCTAGCACCATTTTTATTTGGGCTGGATTACTTTCATCAATAAAATGGTATTTCTCCATGAAATTAAGATACATACAAAGCCAAATGACATTTGAAAGATGACTTGGTGAACCTGGACTCTGAAGAATGTGCCGTGTATGTAACAAGTTTTTAATAATTCAACTAAGCTATTTTATAATGAAGTGAATGTCACAGAAGATGGAAATCAATAAAATTCATTAACTAGGGCCCCTTCATGGATAATGTTTGGATAAGAATTAATAGCACTGGCTTCTTGATTTCCCAATATGACCACCAGTTGCTATGTAGCGCTAACCAAACGACTTTACCTCTCATAATCTCGTATCCAACTCCAAAGTTTACTGTGATGATTAAGATAATATTTATATGACCCACCTATATAAAAATTTCTCAATGAAGATAGCACCCTCCATATTCACTGCCTACTTCTGTTTTAATGCCAGAAAGAGTTTTGAGCTATGAAATAACTCATGTCTACCTAACTGTGCTGCACTGAAAGCAGAACACTTGTGACTCAACTGAAGAGTTAGGCTTAAGAGCTGAACTAGCACATGTTCAGAGAAGGAGATAATTTATAATGATGGATAAAGAATAATAATACTTGCTGGATATGGTGGCTCACGCCTGTAATCCTAGCACTTTGGGAGACCAAGGCGGGTGGATCACCCGAGGTCGGGAGTTCCATACCAGCCTAACCAACATGGAGAAACCTCATCTCTTCTAAAAATACAAAATTAGCAGGGTCTGGTAGCACATGCCTGTAATCCCCGCTACTCGGGAGGCTGAGGCAGGAGAATCGCTTGAACCCAGGAGGCGGAGGTTGTGGTGAGCTGAGACCGCACCATTGCACTCCAACCTGGGCAACAAGAGCAAAACTCCGTCTCAAAAACGAACAAACAAACAAAAAACCGAAACTTTAGTTATAAAGGAAAAGAATTGAGACTATCAGATTTAAAGTAGTTAATATCCAGTTTGAAAAATAATTTGTATGGTAAGTCGAGGTAGTTTCAGGCAGCACATTGGAATAAAAAGGATAAAGGGGTTGTGAGCTAGATGGACTTGCTTTGCAATTTCCAACTCTTTAGCACAGCCTGAGGAAGTCATTTAGTATCCATGAATTTCTGTTTTCACATTTGCAAAACAATAATAATTATAAAAATAATTGATGAAGCTAAAAACAAATGATATATTAAGGTATATAAATTGTCTGGCACACAGTAGGAGTTCAACATGTAGTCCTTAACATTATACTTTGTGGTTGTATTCATGTGAACTTCAGAATACCAAAATATTACATTGGGTCTGGCTTTTGTGCCTTACTGAGGCCCATGTGTGAGAACAAAGACAGTCACAGTCACCTCCTATACCAATTGAGGTTTCAGTGTATTACAGTTTTCTGAATCTTAGAAAATACATTGCTGTAGAAGACTGCTTAGTGCTAGTAATATTGTTCTTAACTAAATTAGAGCTTAATTCATTTGCTGTCTAAGATGGATCCCTTCCAGGGCGTCTTCCCTATTACTGGAATGAAGAGGAAGAAGGGACAGCGTAACACTTTCATGCCTACAGCTTGAGAACAATTTTTATACCTTCATCATGATGCTCATTTTGCTATTCCTTTCTTTAACTCTTTGTATTTGTATCTATTTCCTTATGTTTTATGGGCCTGAAGCTTAATTTGCCTCAAAATCTTTTAAAATATTGAGATTCTTCTGTTTCTAAAATTTATAGCCACAATATCCCTTGTGCCATTTGCCCAGGTTAATTAGTTAGGGGGCAGTTCACACCTTCTTTTCCATGTGATTTACAGGGCAGTTCACACCTTTTTCTGTGTGATCCCCATTGTGGGATTTACAGAATGTGGCTTTGCAAACAGTGTGCCATGGATCTTTGCATATTCTTATTAGAGTCAGAGGCTCCTAATGGTTCTGAAACATATTTTCCTTCATAATAAATTTCAAACACTTCGTTTCCAGTGCCAGGAAGATTGGAATTTTTATATTTTTTTATAAATGGACAAATTCTTTTTTTTTTCTTTTTCTTTTTCTTTTTTTTTTTCCTCGAGATGAAGTCTTGCTCTGTCACCCAGGCTGGAGTGCAATGGCACAATCTTGGGTCACTGCACCCTCCGCCTCCTGGGTTCAAGGTACACTCCTGCTTCAGCCTCCTGAGTAGCTGGGCTTACAGGTGTGTGGCTAACCTTTTGTATTGACAAATTCCTTAAATAGCGTTTTATAGAATGGGATTGCAGATACAATTAGATTTAGGAAAATCTCCAAAATTTTGTACAACTCATTATAATGAGCAGTATAATGAACATTGTGATAAAAAAGCTTGGACCAACTAGAGGTCTAATTGTCCTTTGACCCAATAACTTAGTGAATGATACAGTGTTTCTTTGCAGCAGCTCTTCATCATCTTTACAACAGGTACTGTACTTGGATCATCAGTAGTTGTAATAGTTGCAATAAACTTATACTAAAATATAATATACTATGTAAATTTAGATATAAAATGCTACATAAAACAAGATTTTTATGAATCATTAAAATATACATTGTTAACTGAAAGGAGGTCATTTTCTTCTCTTTAAGAGAGCTAGGTAATACTACCAAACAGTATATAAATGAGCATGGCTTATTTAAAGAAAATACAGTGGAGCAGGCAGCTCAGAAACATAAATCCAATTACTAAGTCAGATAAGAATTTTGTCATCATTTTACAGGATATCACAAACTGATGAATTTCTGAGAGACCTCAATCAATTAATTTTTAAAAGATGTTGGATTTGTACAGGGCTTTATATTTTTCAAAATATTTTATTTTATTTGAATGTAAGCTTTCTATTCTAACCCTTTCCTGGGTTTTTCTCTTGAAGACATTAGCTGTACACTCAGAATGTACAGCATTCTGAAACTGTCAAAGAACAGACAATATTCCAGTATACACAAAACTTCCCATCTGCAATTTTTAGTTCAAAGACCCATGGAGCTTTGGAGGTGGGATAATGTACCCACCATAGCTTTTGTTGCTTTTTGTGTTAGTCAATGGCTTCTATTTCTCTTTCCTTTAATCTCTAGTTATATTAGGTACCATCTTAGTTGCAGATACATGCGGACAAAACAAGAACAAAGGTATGAGATAAAAGTTTATTTGAGCTACAAGTTTATAGCAAATACGAATGCAAGTTGATTAGGGAGCCTGTGGTGAGACTTATAGGGAGAGTCTCATAAAAATATATCATCTTGATACTTTCGTCTTTGAAACTGTGCTAGAATGCCTTCATTACCGATTATTCCTTTCAATATTGATGACTTTGACCAATAATCTCACTGTTTCCCGCCTCCCAACACCACCCATTCCCCTTGCGTCCTTTCGAAAAGCACTAAAGGCAAAGGTGATATTTAGGTCCTCTAAGAGTCAATGTGGGTGAAAATGAAATACTTCTTCAGAGCACAGTCAGGATGATTACCCAGCCGCTTTGATAAATTTACCGACATCTGTTACAGAGTCATTTCTGCTGCACAAATCTGCCATTAACAAACAGTAAGGACTTTAATTAACTGAAGATACCAAGGAGTGATACTCTGATAAAATGGCACCATCTGGAAAGAAAGATGTAAAATTTTCTCCTCAGCTGTGTTGATTGGGGATTATATTAAAATGTGTCTTGATCACAAATGATTCCCCTGCTGTTGTAGGGTTCTTTATTAGTAGCATACTAGCAAAGGCTTTATGGCTTGAAATACTTTGCTCAGGTGTGCCGCAGCATTAAAATGTAAATTTTCTGAACTTCGGATTTTTCCTTTGGCCTTTCGTTGATGCCCCATTAGTGCTCATTAACTTTTCCTGCTCCACAAAGAATGATGTTGATCAACTTTGAGCTTCAAGAAGAGGTCAGCCAGAACCTAGCAGTGCCTAAACCCTTGGCAATTGTTCTTAACAAGCCTATTTGGAAATTTAATGTAAATCAGGATCGTCTCTCTAGAAGAATGCACATGTGTACATAATCACAGAATTTTGGATATGATTTCAGGGCCTCCTAGACTCTCAGGAGGCATGCATCCCAGGTTAAGTATCTCTTCTTCAGACATACTTATTTGTCTCTCTCATACATACAGCATTACATTCCTTCTGGCAGCCTACCCCATTCAGCTGCTTCATTTGACCAGATTTTCAAAGCTTTTCAGGAAACATGAACTTTGAGTTTAGAAAACTAAACTTGTTCCAATTTGGTTCAGTCTGATGGGTCCCAATTGAGTATTTTTACCCCTGACCTCAAAGAGTGATAAATTAAATCAGTTGCAAGTCGTTAAGTCTTGGCTTCCACTCATCTAAGGTCTAAAGGGGAAGAAGGGATGCTTGAACTGGATTCTAAGGGGAGGTACATCTAGAGGACTCTATCACAAGCTTCTTAGCAAGGAAGCAATGCTTGCTACCATTTAAGTTCACAGAAGCTTAGTTAGTATAATTAATTGTTGAAAATATGTATAATTGTTGAAAATATGCTGTTTGGCAATAATGTGTGACCATCATGAATTACATGGCCTAAAATTACACATTCTACTTCTAAGGGCATTTGAGAGAAGGCTTTAGAAAGCAGTCTGCACATGCTAGAAGAACATGACACCCTCCCATGGGTAGCAGTTGTTCCCTATGACATATTTTTTTAATTGGGGGCTGGATTGGGAACTCAACAAGAGAATGTTGCTATATAATCCACTGTGATCTGAAAAAACATGCACAAAAATGGGAGTTAAGAAATAAAGATGTTCACCAGCTCAATTGTTGAATAATTATTATTTTCATAAGTTCACTTGGGTAATCTCTAGTTCCAGTTTTCCATTTCTAAGAAGAGAATGCTAATGTAACTCGGAAATTAGGTAATTAAGAGAAAGCTTATGACTGCCCAAAAATATGTAGCTTTTGCTACATATGGCTTTTTCCCAATTTTATTTACATCAGTCTGAATAAAGCCTTGCATTTATCAAGTGGCAGAAAAGACATACATAATACACTTTTTAACTTAACAAAAGACCTATATTATGCTGTTCTAAAATAATTTTATTTACCTTTTTAACCAAATCAAAGGCACCCAATGCCACAAAGATATTTTCAGCTAATGCTAGTGTCTTCAAGTCAGAGAGCATTTGTAAAATTGTGTATTTTTAACAGTATAATTTTTTTCTTTTTTAATTAATTTTTTAAAACTATTATTATACTTTAAGTTCTGAGATAGATGTGCAGAACGTGCAGGTGTGTTACATAGGTATACACATGCCATGGTGGTTTGCTGCACCCATCAACCAGTCATCTACATTAGGTATTTCTCCTAATGCCATCCCTCCCCTAACCTCCCCACCCCCAACAGACCCCAGTGTGTGATGTTCCCCTCCCTGTGTCCATGTGTTCTCATTGTTCAACTCCCACTTATGAGTGAGAACATGTGGTATTTGGTTTTCTGTTCTTGTGTTAGTTTGCTGAGAATGATGGTTTCAGTATAATTTTTATCCCACTCCTGATACAGTGCCAAACAACCTATTGTTTTTCTAATTATCTTAAATCAGACTCTGAAATCCAAGTCACCAGGATGTTGAATAAATAAAGCTTCAATCATACCCATTATTGTCTTTCCTTGCCTTATTTTTCCACCCTGGGAACTAGGGTTGTGTTAAAATTTCATAGAGAGGATTCTCAGGTCTTCAACTCACACTTGGCTGAAATGATTAATGTCCAAGCCACATACTATCCTGATGACGGATGGTTTTGTTGCCTCTGTGCCAAGACCACTAGGGTATTTGGGCCTACATCCAACCTTGGAGCCCAGAGGCGCAGGGGCTGACCTCAGAATTGTACCAAGCCACCATTCTCCTCCACATCCTGTAACCTCCCAGGGGCATTTCAAGCACCGCTATTCCAAGGTCCTGCCAAAGCTTCCATGACTTGCTAGTCTTGGAGAGTATGTTTTCTTACCCTGATGTCAGCAACTTTGCTCTGTATCCCTCAAGGCACTTTTTTTATTTTTGTCTCCCCCTGTATCCCAAATAAATTCACCCTCCCTGAGCCTTTATAAATACAGTGTTGAGGTGTCTTTCTTGAGAGTTTTTTATTACTAATTCACTCTAATACATGTTTTTATTTGCTTGCTCTGACAGTTTTACATAGTTGTCGGTTGCTTCTTGTAATGAAAGAGACCAGATGTTTCAGCATTCTCATTTTATTTTTCTCCCAATTCGAAAAAAATATGCTTTTTATTTCATTGTGACCCTTTTGAGAAAATTCTGTAGCAGGCATCAATATAAAGCAAGATTCTCAATGTTAAGTCCTAGGGATTATAAGCAGGCATTTTCAGACCTTGGCATTCTAACGTACTATCTAGAGAGATGTTAACTTACTTTTCAACTCCCAGCAGCATTGTTTTGTAAATTATCTTCCTTTCAACTGCTCTAAACACTTTGCCACTTTAACCTTTTTTTTCTTTTTGGTTCATTGTAAATCCTTCATTTATTTACATCTTATTCTTTTCAATATTCCTTCACTTGCTTTAGGCAAATGTGTTTTGAGTTTCTTCAGATTAAGAAAGAATTATGCTATCAGTTGCCGGTGTTCCTTAGCCTGTCCCAGGGAGGGGTGGTCTGCAAGGTGGATTTCCACACATTCTACAGTATTACCTCCACTCTATCTCCTCTCTGACTTGACTCTTAATATTGTATTCCAAAAAACTATAGAGAGAAGGAAGATCAAGATAAATTATCCAGAGTCTAGAATTAAAGAAAGTTGGTCCTGGTGTAGCAGCTCCTTCTCAGTCCTGTTTTGAGCTTTTTGACTGATTGCTTTCATTCCTGTTCTGCCATCTCAGTGTCCATATGGAAGTGATTGTTTGCTTTAATTATAAAAGAAAATAACCCAAAAGAAATAGCAACTAAGTAAAACAGCAAAAAAAAAAGTTTTCTTTGATGAGAGAAGGTAGGTGATTTAAAAGATTAGTCTATCAGCAGAAAACAAGCTCTGTGTTACATATGAACTGGGGACTATGTCTTCCTAGAAGTTATAAAAAGGATCATTACAGAATTGTTTACACAATTCCTCCCACCTTTCATCCAATTTAAAGTAAGTACCTGTCATAAGCATTGCATAGAAAATCATTACTCACACCTGTTAAAGTTTTAGGTAAACAAGGGGAGATACCAGCCTCAGGGTCAACTGGTCTAGGATAGAAGGGCTTTCTATTAATACAAACACAAACAAGATCAAAGACATTTTTTTCTCTAGTCATCACTATAAACATTGATTGACATATATCTAGCCACCATTTTCAACATTCTTAACATTTTGGGGGTTTTTATATTATGTACTAAAATGAGTGCAAATTAAAAAACAAGTGAACTCTTCCATTTAAATAGATGGAGAATAAATATATTATTGTAAAAATTAAGAAAAGAAATATACATACCCATCTGGTTATATATTCATATTTCAAGGTGTTAATGGCAGAGTCAGCAAATGAATTATTCATATGGTTAATCAAGTAAGTATTGAAATAAGAGAGAGAATTACCTTATTCCATTCAAGGCATAGACACTTCCAAAATGTTATAATATAACGGAATATATTAATGCCTATAAAAGTTTATTTAACATTAGTTAGCACCCACTCTTTTTTTCAGATATAGAACCTACTTCAGGACCTTCAATGCTTAGTTCTAACATCCTTTATTGTTTTGTAAAATTTCTGGCTCACAGAGCATTCCAGTGAGGCAACCTCAGAAGGTAAATAAGCCCCTCATTTTGGACATCATAAGGCTTTTCAGATCAGAGGAGCAATGCATGGTGAAAGGGTATTAGCCATGCAGGCTGAGGGGTAGATGTCCAGGACAGACTGCAAGAAGCAGGAAATGTGTGTGCCTAATTAAGGGATTTCTCCTTCTGTCATTTCCCTATAATCTACTGCTAGCATGGAAATATAAACTGGGGTCTTCCAAAGGTATATTTGAAAGCACATGGTCTTTGGAGTCAAATCCTGATTTATAACCTACCCAGCATGTAATTGAGGGCAAGTCACTTAAAATTTTTTGAGACTCAATTTCCTCATTTGTAACATATTATGAAATCATAAAATTGGATAACATGAGAGTCTATCTTTCAAGGCTGTCGAGAGGATAATAAAAATGTATTCAAAGTCCTCAGAACGTGATCAATGCTTAATAAATGCTAGATGTTACACAAGCTTTCTTTTTAAAAATTTCAGCCTTGCCTTTCATGTAAGTCAATTACCAACTTTGTTAGACAATATCTTCTTCATCTTTAATTTTCAGCTCAAAATAGCCATGTAACTTTGAGAAATGTCCTTAACCTTTATATGATTCTATTTCTTCACATGTGAAATAACAGGAATAATATCCTGAGTAAGGATAGTGCTCTGCAAGGCCATGTCCTAATAGGATGCTATCCATTTTGTCCTTGATCACAATTAAAGCAAAGTACAGGCATATGCATCAACGTGCTTCATAGTGCAGAATAGTGCCGTTGTCAGATGCGTGGATTCTGGGGCCAGACAACCTACATTACTACTCACAGTTCATCCACTCAACATGGCTGAGTGATCTTGGGCAGGTCATTTAGCTGTTTTATGCCCCAGTTTCTTACTTTTCTAGACTCCCTTTATACCATTTAATTTTCCAATGGCATTATACAGAAAATCTTTTGTCCTCAAATGTCTCATCTATTCTAGTGGTACTGCACTCTTCACATGTAGTAAATAGTTTTAATGAAAACATTAGATTGTTTTACCAAAAGCTAGCTAAACATCAGCATTTTATCCTCTGAACCCAATCAAATTAAAAAAAAGTTTCTTCAGTGTCACTTCTTTTTGTTTGTAGAGATATAAAATTATTATAACACATGTTGACTAGAAATTTGGGACATTGTCACAAACAATTTATTAATGTTATTAATTTTATTAAAACAGAGAAGATAGTATGAAAGCAACATGTCCATTAATCAAAACACCCTCCATGTTTACTTGGTAGTTGTACTTTTCATGAGTGAACCTGATGGCTCATGACCTGTAATGCCTATACAAACATTTCCACATTTATGAAAGGTTTGGAAGAGCTCTCTTTCAATGTTAAGGCTCAACTATAGTTAACAGAAAAAAAATGTAATTCTATCAATATTTTTAACTTAATGACAAGATAGGGATTTGAACTACATGGCTACTAGCAGCTTTTCTAATGCAAGAGCCAATGATTTCTGTGTGTCTCTTGAGAAGTTTATTTAAAAATGGCAGCATTTGAAATTACCTCTAGAGATGTGACTAATGTGAGTCTAAAGGTTTTGTCTTAAGATGTTGAATTCCTATAAAATATTTTAAATACAAAGATTAAAATGATGCAAATTTTAAAGCTTCCCTTCTCTTTAGTAAATGTTTGCTCACTATTCCTCACCCCAGGTATGAGTTCACTCCAGAACTTGAATCCAGTTGCTAGTGAATATGGATGGAAAGAGAGTTCTAGTCTAGGGTAGTGAGCTGCCCAGCCCAGGAGAAACTTAATATGCAAGGGGAGCTCACGGATACCTCCCACCTCCACTGCCGCTTACATTCATGATACCTCATTTCTATGACACAATTTCTAAGTAGGTTTCACCCTAAAGTTTTATTTTTTATGCCATTACTTAAATGTTTATCATTTTATCCCACTGATAATGGAACACAAATAGAAACTTTTTATAATGAAGATACAATCCCAACTCAGAGTAATTATTTATAGATTGGAGAAAGTCTTCACATATTTTGTTATTATGTGGATAAGTTCACAATCATCAGGAAGATGCAGAGAAAAATCAAAACATGTTACATCCAAAATTGATTTTAGCATCTTTTTTAAACAAAGTCATATTGCTCTTCTGTGCTTAATATATATGTATAGAGAAATAAAAGCTGGTAACATAATTAGTTTTTTCTACCTTTATAATAAATGTGTTTTTGGCTGGGCGTGGTAGCTCACGCCTCTAATCCCAGCAGGTTGGGAGGTGGAGGTAGGTGGATCACCTAAGGTCAGGAGTTTGAGACCAGTCTGACCCATATGGTGAAACCCCGTCTCTACTAAAAATACAAAAATTAGCCAGGCATGGTGGTGCACACCTGTAGTCCCAGCTACTCAGGAGGCTGAGACAGGAGAATTGCTTGAACTCGGGAGGCAGAGGTTGCAGTGAGCTGAGATTGTGCCACTGCACTCCAGCCTGGGTGACAGAGTGAGACTCCATCTCAAAAATAAATAAATAAATAAAAATAAAAAATAAATGTGTTTTCTGTTAAGTATTGGAGCGCCAAGTAAGTGAGAACCTGTCACTTTTCCAAAAAATTATTTTCATATCTGTTTCATAGCATGATTACTTGATAATAACTAATTAAAGTAAATCTTATTACTTATAAGGTAGATTTCAAACATAGGTTTATGGGGGTTTTAATAACTATGACAGTGATATCTTGAGCTTTTAAGATTATTTTCATACCATCCATTAATTTCCAAAGAGAGAAACTAATTCACACTACATTCAGAATCTAGATAAAATCTAACCCAACATTTGAAACTCTAACCCAGAGTTTTTTGCCTTAAAAAAAAAAATCTCCTGTGTTAAGGAAACCACTCCCAGTCTTAACAATAAAACCCAGATTCTGCAGATTGTCAATAATAGGAAAGTCTCACATGAGACTCATAGCTCCAATTCTCTTTCCCTGTGTTCCTTGAGAGTTCCTTTCAGGAGATATGTTTCCATTAGCTGTTTGCTTTCATCACCACAATTACTTCACAGGGCTTTCTGCTTTCATAATTGATCAATATAGCTTTCCTGATTATAGCCAATAGAACGTCTGATACAAGGCTGGATTCTTCAAAAGACCCAGGGAAAGCAAAGGATAACAACAAGGAACTGAATCATCTGGCCGTGAAATAACCACCTACTCTCCAGGGTCACCTGCCTCAATTACACCGTGACCCCATTTCTTCCTCAGTGTGGTTGAGGACCTATCTTAGAACTTGTTACCTAGGAGACTCTTCTAACACTTTCACATTCCTCAAAGCTTAGACATATGTCTGTCAACCAGAAAACAGTTTCTTTTTTCACCCCTTGAGAGCCTTCTTCTGAGTTTATTTTCTTTTTCAAGGAGGTATCTTATTCCAGGATGAAGGAAGTACCTCGTTCCAAGATGAGTTAGGAGCATGACTATTGCTCATCATTGGATGACAATCAGAAATAGTCTTATTCTTTATGAAAACCACAACAGAATAGTAACTACCTTAGTATACCTCAGTGCACCCAGCATTCACATAGGAGGTGTGCACGGGAGCAACAGGGAAGCAGTTCATTTGAATTTCTCCATAAACTGCTTTACTTTGATTATCTAAACCAATGGAGCTATAATAATGGGGGGTGGAGGGAAAAGGCCTAACTACCTGAGTAGGAATCATGAGACAAAACTTTGTAGTAAAATAAAATAATAACCAAATGGAGAATCTCATTGTGTTTTTTAGGCCTGACTCAGATGGTCAACATCTATGTGAATTTGAGTAAGGGACATTTTGTCTGATGGTGACAGTGTCCTCAGTTGTAAAATTCCTACAGTCTTTTTCATATGTATGAGTTACAGTATAATTCTTCAAAGTGAAAACTGCCTAAATAATTATAAGCCCTACTTTTTGTTACTTATGAAAAAATAATTTTATTTGATTTTTATATTTTCTTCCCCCCACTGCCAGCTTTATTAAGGTATAATTGACAAAGAAAGATTGTCTGTATTTATGGCATAAAACCTGATGTTTTGATATTGTAAATATTGTGAAATGATTACCACACTCAAGCTAATTAGCATATCCATCAACTTAGTTATATAAATATATATATATTTATTTTATATATATATATATATATATATATTTGTAGTTAGAACATGTATTAGTCCATTTTCATGCTGCTGATAAAGACATACCCGAGACTGGGCAATTTACAAAACAAAAAGGTTTATTGGACTTACAGTTTCACGTGGCTGGGGAGGCCTCACAATTACAGCAGAAGGTGAAAGGCATGTCTCAAATGGCAGTGGCAAGAGAGAGAATGAGAGCCAAGAGAAATAGGTTTCCCCTTATCAAACCATCAGATCTCATGAGACTTATTCACTACCATGAGAACAGCATGGGGGAAACCGCCCCCATGATCCAACCATCTCCCACCAGTTTCCTCCCACAACATGTGGGAATTATGGGAATACAATTCAAGATGAGATTTGGGTAGGGATACAGAGCCAAACCATATCATTCCACCCATTACCCCTCCCAAATCTCATGTCCTCATATTTCAAAACCAATCATGCTTTTCCAAAAGTCCCCCAAAGTCTTAACTCATTTCAGCATTAACTCAAAAGTCCACAGTCCAAAGTCTCATCTGAGACAAGGCAAGTCCCTTCCACCTATAAGCCTGTAAAATCAAAAGCAAGTTAGTTACTTTCTAGATACAATGGGGGTACAGTAATTGGGTAACTACAACTGATCCAAGTGGAAGGAATTGGCCAAAACAAAGGGACTACAGAGTACCCCATGCAAGTCCAAAATCCAGCAGGGCAGTCAAATCTTAAAGCTCCAAAATGATCTCCTTTGACTACATGTCTTATATCCAGGGCATGCTGATGTAAGAGGTAGGTTCCCAGGGTCTTGGGCAGCTCCACCCCTATGGCTTTTCAGGGTACAGCCTCCTTTCCAGCTGCTTTCACAAGCTGGTGTTGAGTGTCTATGGCTTTTCCAGGCAAATGGTGCAAGCTGTCAGTGGACCTACCATTCTAGGGTCTGGAAGACAGATTCTTCTCATAGCTCTTCTCATAGCTCCACTAGGAGGTACCCCAGTAGGGACTCTATGTGGGGGCTCCAACCCCACATTTCCCTTCCACATTGCCCTAGCAGAGGTTCTCCATGAGAGCCCGACCCCTGCAACAACCTTCTGCCTGAGCATCCAGGCATTTCCATACATCTTCTGAAATCTAGGCGGAGGTTCCCAAACCCCATTTCTTGACTTCTTTGCACTTGCAAGCTCAACACTACATGGAAGCTGCCAAGGCTTGGGTTTCACCATCTGAAGCCATGGCCCGAGCTCTACATTGGCACCTTTCAGTCACAGCTGGAGCAGCTGGGACCAAGGGCACCAAGTTCCTGGGCTGCACACAGCCCAGGGACCCTGGACCCAGCCCCCGAAACCATTTTCTCCCAGGCCTCCAGGACTGTGATGGGAGGGGCTGCCATGAAGACCTCTGACATAACTTGGAGACATTTTCCCCATTTTTTTTGGAAATAACATTTGGCTTCTCATTACCTATGCAAATTTCTGCATCTTGAATTTCTCCTCAGAAAATTGGTTTTTCTTTTCTATCACATTGTCAGGCTGCAAATCTTCTGAACTTTTATGCTTTACTTTCCTTGTAAAACTGAATGCCTTTAACAACACCCAAGTCACCTCTTGAATGCTTTGCTGCTTAGAAATTTCTTCTGCTAGATACCCTAAATCATCTCTCTCGAGTTCAAAATTCCACAAATCTCTAGGGCAGGGGCAAAATGACACCAGTCTCTTTGCTAAAGCATAACAAGAGTCACCTTTGCTCCAGCTCCCAACAAGTTCCTCATTTCCATCTGAGACCACCTCAGCCTGGATCTCATTGTCCATATGGCTATCAGACTTTTGGCTAAAGCCATTCAACGAGTCTGTAGGAAGTTCAAAACTTTCCCATATTTTCCTGTCTTCTTCTGAGCCCTCCAAACTGTTCCAGCCTCTGCCTGTTACCCAGTTCCAAAGTCGCTTCCACATTTTCGGGTATCTTTTCAGCCACACCCCACTCTACTGTTACCAGTTTACTGTATTAGTCCATTTTCCCGCTGCTGATAAAGACATACCCGAGACTAGGCAGTTTACAAAAGAAAGAGGTTTATTGGACTTATGGCTTCACGTGGCTGGGGAGGCCTCACAATCATGGTGGAAGGTGAAAGGCATGTCTCACATAGCGGCAGCAGGAAAGAATGAGAGCCAAGTAAAACAGGTTTCCCCTTATCAAACCATCAGATCTTGTGAGACTTATTCACTACCACGAGAACAGCATGGGGGAAACCACCCCCACAATCCAACTATCTCCACCAGGTCCCTCCCACAATACGTGGGAATTATGGGAGTACAATTCAAGATGAGATTTGGGTGGAGACACAGAGCCGAACCATATCAGAACATTTAAGATCTACTTTCTTAGCACACTTCAAGTACACACTAGAGTGTTTTCAATATAGTCATCATGCTGTACATTAGGTCTCCAGAACATATTCATCCTGCCTAACTGAAACTTTGCACCCTTTGATCAACATCTCACAATTTCCACTACTCCCCAGCTCCTGGCAACCACCATTCTATTCTCTGTTTCTATGAGTTTGATTCCACATATAATTGAGATCATGCAATATCTTCCTTTCTGTGCCTGGCTTATTTTACTTAGCATAATGCCCCCAAGTTTCATTCATGTTTTCACAAATGACAACATTTCCTTCTTTTTTAAGGCTAAGTTTTCAACATTATATATACAATAAAGAAAGTTTCCTCAAGAAAGAAAACTTTTTTTGTTATTTTACCTAGTTTCTATTCCTTTTGGATCTTTTTCTTTCAAAATTAAAGCAAATAACTATGATCGTATGGTCATTTGGTATACATATATGTATAACACATTTTTTATATCCATCAGTAGACACTGAGGTTGATTTTATATCTTGGCTATTGTAAATAATGCTGCAATAAACATGGGAGTGCACATATCCATTCTAGACACTGATTTCATTTAATTGGATATATACCCAGAAGTGAGATTGCTGGGCCAAATGGTAATTCTATTTTTAATTTTTTAAGAACCTCCATACTGTTTTCTGTAATGGCTGTACCAATTTACATTCCAACCCATGGTACAAAGGGTTATTTTTCTCAGCATCTTCCCTAATACTTATTATCTTTTGTCTTTTTGATAATAGACATTCTAATATGTGTGAAGTAATAGATAACTCATTGTGGTTTTGATTTACATTTCTTCGATTATTAGTGATGTTGAATATCTTTTCATATATCTGTTGGCCATTTGTATATCTTCCTTTGAGAAGTGCCTATTCAAGTAGTCCTTTATTCATTTTTAAAATTGAGTCATTTGTTTTCTCTTTATTAAGTTGAGTCCCTTATATATTTTGTACATTAGCTCCTTATCAAATGTTTGCAAATTTTTCTCCCATTCTGTAGATTTTCTCCAGTCTGTTGATTGTTTCATTTGCTACAGGGAAACTTTTTAGTTTGATATAATTCCATTTATCTATTTTGCTTTTGTCAGCTGTGCTTTATAAGGAGTGATATCCAAAAAAATTATTGCCCAGACCAATGTCAAAATGCTTTTTTCACATGTTTTCTTCTAGTAGTTTTACAGTTTATGTTCAATTCTATAATCCATTTCAAGGAATTTTTGTATGTGATGTGAGTTAAGGGTCCAATTTCATTTTTCTGCATATGGATATCCATGTTTTTGTGCCCATGATATCCTTAAATGAGAAGTAAGTGCTGGGTGCAAATTAGGGGAAGACATCATACAATTTGTGAAACCTTACTGAATTATGTATTTGATAAATAATAAAAAGTGGAACTTTTTCCACATAATTCATTTTATTAGGACAAAGAGTTTGACATCTGATTGTATTATGAAAACTAAGTGTAAAAAGTACAGTGAAGGTAATCCTTTCTATGTAGACTTTAACTGGGGTATTTAATACAAAAGGTTGGTCTTGTATCCCAGATCCTGGGGTCTAGTTTAGGATCTGTCCCAGTTGTCACTGCTTTGTTTTGATGAAATTCTTAAAGTTAGCATAATCTGTATCTGATATTCCAACCATCTTAACTTTTAAAATCCAAGTCCCTATCACTCTTTAGATTTGATCTAAGAAAATGTTATAATATTGACCACTTACTAGAAGATACTGATATCACGATAGAGTGATATTGAGTTTTCCCAAGTCTTATTTCATAAGCCAAGGCCTTTTTAAAAATAAAGATTATTTAATTTAGAATAGAGCTTGGCACATAGAAAATATGCAGATGGTTTAAATGACATTATATCAAGAAGTTGCAACTTTGGCATAAATTTGTATGGCAGAGAAGGACAAAAAGGGAATGACAAAAAATAACCAAGTAGAATGAATGCAGAAGTAGAATAATCTCTCTAATAATGCAGATAAGGGAACCCCCAGGTGAGTTCACACTGGCTTCACCTGGTTCCACAAAGACCGGTTTATAGACCAGAGGTTCTCAAGGACTGAGCCCTATCTGGGACCCCTGCCCACCTGCAGGGGGTGAAATCAACTCCTCAGAGGCCTGTCCACCCGCACCACAGAAAATACTTAAAATCGTCTCTCCAGCTCACACAAAACCATCACACAAGCTAACATTAAAAATAATTATACCCACTAAGTCATCAGTCTATAATTAGTGTTTTTTTCTTCAGAAACGTGGTGAAGAAGGCAAAGCATTTGACTTCTGAGGTCAAATAGGTTCTTGTCATTCTCTTGACCACTTTAGCGTAATTTGAGACCATGTAAATTAGGAAAGAAATGTTCACTACCACAGCAGAGAGTGATTGATCATCAAAAGGGCCTCAGTTAGGTGTCACCTGGTCCTTTTAAATGCGTCCCTCTGCTCCTGATATTGCTGACCACAACAGTCAGGACTTTAGTGAGAAGTTGAAAACTTGTTTTAGATAATATATATTTTCATTGGAGAGAAATAGGGCTCCAATTTCAAATTTCTTCTCTACACTGGGTTCTCTTCCTTCCCAGTGAAATAATTCTCTTTTATTCTCTATATCCAGTTAACGTTTATTGATTCCCTGTTGTGAGTAGATATGTCTATTGCATCTGCTATTGCCTGTGACCACTTCCTCATTCTTTGTCTTTCCTTCTCTCCCAAGATGTCACAGCAACACTCTTCACAACAGATTGCCGTTATATTGCTTTGTTTTGTTTTAAAGAGAAACGTCATAGGGCTTATGGAGGGAGGTAGTTTTCAAAAGATATAACTTTTTTGAGAGCCATAGCTTAGCCAGTTTGAAAAGTTGTACAGCTGCAAAAGCTGTATGGAAACTCCTATAAATTAAATTTTTACACATCCTTCCTCTATCCTTTGCTTTATGAATAAATATTGGTATATGCTGATGGCCATATGCCTTTATATTGTGTTATTACTTAGAATTGCCTGGCAGCAAAAATCATGGAGTTCATTTAAAAATCAATGTAATGCCAAATTTATAAAATTTAGTGCAGACTGTCATATAATGACAACTCTTTAGATTCTCAGTTTACATCTCATTTCCACATCCAATATCTGATTGCAATCTCATTTGACAGTTAAGAAAATTGAAACATAGAGAGGAAAGTGATTTACCCAAGGTTGCTCAGTTGGGGAAATGGCTGGATCTGGCTGACTCCCATTCCAGTAATTTTTCCACCTTTGTTGCTGATTCTTGGTGGTAGTTAGGTTTTCCTTGTTTTTCTAATTCTCTGTTGAAATGTACAATGGTAGCAAAAAGAAAAATGAGTAAAAGAAAAATGTATTTAGTACAAATTTATTAACATACCATAAGAAAGCTCTTCTATACTGCAAATTTGTATTTTTGAAAAATAGACTGGCCAGGTGCGGTGGCTCATGCCTGTAATCCCAGCACTTTGGGAGGCTGAGGCGGGCAGATCACCTGAGGTCAGGAGTTCAAGACCAGCCTGGCCAACTTGGTGAAACCCCATGTCTACTTGAAATACAAAAAATTAGCTGGGCGTGGTGGTACGCACCTGTAATCCCAGTTACTCGGGAGGCTGAGGCAGGAGAATCACTTGAACCCAGGAGGCAGAGGCTGCAGTGAGCTGACATCGTGCCATTGCACTCCATCATGATTGAAAATTTCCTGAGACCTCCCCAGAAGCCAAGTAGATGCCAGCATCATGCTTCCTGTACGGCCTATGGAACCATGAGCCAATTAAACCTCTTTTCTTTATAAATTACTAGTTTCAGGTATTTCTTTGTAGCAATGCGAGAACAGACTATTACAACAATTGTGAAAAGCAGTTTGGCATTTTTTTCAAAGAACTCAAAAGCAGAATTGCCATTTGCCCTGGCAATTCCATTATTAGGTATGTACCCAAAGGAATATAAATTGTTCTATTATAAAGACACATGCATGCATATGTTCATCACAGCACCATTCACAATAGCATGGATATGGAATCAACCTAAATGCCTATCAGCAGTAGACTGGATAAAGACAATGTGATACATACATACTGTGGAATACTATGCAGTCATGAAAAAGAGCAGGATCACATCCTTTGCAGCAACACAGATGGAGCTGGAGGCCATTATCCTTAGCAAACTAACACAGGAACAGAAAACCAAATACCACATGCTCTCACTTATAAGTGAGAGCTAAACACTGAGTACATATGGACACAAAGAAGGGAACAACAGACACTAGGCCCTACTTGAGGCTGGAAGGAGGGAGCAGGGTAAGGATCTAACTGACTATTGGGTTTTATACTTATTACTTAGATGGTGAAATAATCTGTACACCAAGCCCCCATGAGATGCAATTTATCTATATAACAAATGCATATATACCCTGAATCTAAAGTAAAAGTTAAAAAATACATATTTGCTCAATAGTAATAATTTTAAAAGAGACTGAAATACAGTGACACTGAGGAGTTTGGCTAACACTCACCATGATGAATTGTTCTTCAACTTTGGAGAGACCAAGAGTAGACTTTTTTTGATCCACTGCTTCATTTTTCCAGAAATTTGTTCTAAAAGGTCTTAAAAAAGAAATCTGTAGAAAACTTAGTAGCATAAAAGTATAATTTTACTAACAAAACTGGAAACAAATATGTACTTTCAAATAGAGAAATGTATAAATAAGCTATATCATATTAATTTAAAATATTTTGCAGGCATTGAAAATAACAAATATATAAATATTTTATTTGTCTATTTTACAGTTTACCTAGTGTTTTATATCTCATTTAAAGATTGGAGGTACAACTAAAAATGCTTATAAAATATTCTAAGTGAAATAATAAATAAAAAATGTATATGTGTACTATGACTACAACCACATAAAGCTCTACCCATGAAAAAGATTGGAATAGACATATATATGCATTTATATTCATATGCAGGTAAATAGGCATACTGTACAGGTGATGAGCCTATAGATATAATTTTCTTTAATATTAAGATCTTTAAATTTAAATAGAAACTTGTTTTCATAGTAAATTCCTAAATTTTGAACAGATATGATCATTACGTTGAGTAGATTAAACTTGAAAAAGTTGTCTTCTTAATGATAACATATAATCCATAAGACAAATATTTTACTATTATTATGATTATTCTGAGATAGGGTCTCACTCTGTTTCCCAGGCTGGGGTGCAGTGGCACAGTCATAGCTCACTGCAGCCTCAAACTCCTGGGCTCAAGTAATCTCCCTGCCTCAGTCTCTTGGACAGCCTCTAGACTACAAGCACATGGCATCATGCCTGTTTAATTTTTTAAAAATACTTTGTAGAAAAAATATCTCACTGTGTTGCCCATGCCCATGCTGGTCTTGGACTCTTGGCCTCAAATGATCCTCCTGCCTCGTCCTCTTAAAATGATGGGGTTACAGGTATGAGTCACCATGCCCAGCCTATTATTTTTATATGAAGGCATAAATTATTAATTTTTTAATTAGTTTTTAAATCAACCAAGATGAGATTTAGAATAATATCAGATCATTACATAAAAATATAATTTAGGTGTATTCAAACTTTATTCAGCTTCCAAAAATAACTCGAATGATAACACTATTACTTAAAGAGTAGGAATAATGCAAACCTATGCATTATTTTGGTTACAGGCCAAAGCGAAGATAAAACATATGTAAAAGTATTTACTGTTTTTCTTAAGAGAGTTTATTGGTGATTGTTGTTTTGAAAATATTACAGGTTTATATTTTTGAGCTCTAGCTCAATAGTATCTGAGGAGCATAGTGAACTTACAATTTCATTTGTGTTGACTT
Source organism: Homo sapiens (assembly GCF_000001405.40). Taxonomy (NCBI): domain Eukaryota; kingdom Metazoa; phylum Chordata; class Mammalia; order Primates; family Hominidae; genus Homo; species Homo sapiens. The sequence continues at coordinate 85,822,056 of NC_000004.12, forward strand.
TCTAGTTAAAGAATAAATCCCTTTCCTTTGAAATGTAGCCTTGGTCAGCTGATGGAGCATTTTCTCCATATATGCATGTTAGGAAAATTTGTTTCAATTTAAAAAGGAAACACATGGCTATGACTTAACTATTAAAAAGTGAAATGTTCAATTAATGTGGATTTGGTCTTTCTGTTTTTCCAGTCCCTCAAATGTTATTTCAACAAACCAAAAAATGAGTTTTTTGGTTTGTTGAAATAACAAACCAAATAACAAGCCAAGTCCAAATATTCTGACTTGGCTTAAGACTTTTGTGCTGAAGACTCTGTTCCCAAGAAGATTTACATTGAGGACCCAAGTCTGCCATTTAATTAACAGGCTGTTTGTTGATTTCTTGTAATGCTGAATTATTTACCAGCTGTCTCCTGGTTATGTCAGAAAGATGTAAAGAATGCAAACAAAAATACAAAATAAGACACAGGTAACATCAGCAATGTAATCTCTCCCCATGCACCCTGCTCACCTCCAAACCAATATATGTTGCTGTTACAGAGGAGATCTCTCTGAAATACGTGTTCATGCAACACAATATTTTAGAAGACAATACATTTTCTTGATCATACATGTGTTGTTAGTTCACCATTTCTTTTTTAGAAATAAGCAGTTACCCCAAGACTATGATTATACATTCATGAATGTATTATGCTCTTTATATTTATACCATATCTATTCTCTTTATATTTGAATTTATATGCACTTGCTCCTGCACACACATACACACACCTGCCATATTCCCTGTATCACTTTTTTATATTTTAAAAATCAGTGAAGTCCAAAGTACACTATATTTCCTTATATTATAGGACAGCAGCATCTAGAATTTTGTTATGTGTACCCATGAATATTTTTAATGCAGATGATGAGAGTAATGGTAATAACATGTCTGAAAACTGGAATTTTTTCACTTGGCAGTGATTATAAGCATGACAAATTAACTTTGTCAAAAAAACTTCAAAAATGATCTCTTTATTATGAACTAGAGTTACTATTTTCTGCTCTTTCTTTCTTTCTTTCCTTCCTTCTTTCACTACATTGTAGTAGTGGCCATTGAAGAACATTTAGAAAATGCTAAAAGATCAGAAAGAAAATAAAATTGCTGTAATTTCACTACCTAGAGATAAAAACTATTAACATCATAGTGCATATTTTCAGATTTTTCTATATATTGAATATTTATTACAAAATTCGGATCATATTGTACCTACTATTTTCTAATATGCCTTACTCAGTAATGTATCATAAAATATCTTATGAAAATCCTAACACAGTCCTCTAATTTCAGTGTGATTGCATCATGGCATATGAATATACTTTTAGTCATTTAAGAACTAGGGGCATTGACACTAATGCTTTTGAAGGCTTTTCCCTCAAGGATTCAGTTGGTGGCAACAGGAGCACCAATGTTCCCATGTGTCCCAGGCTTTCTGAAGGAACCCCACATGCAGTGTTTTGATGGAACAGCAGCTGACACTGTTATCACTCAGCTCAGGCAGCTGGGTGCCTGAGGGCCTTTCCTGGCCATGAGCCACCTGACTAAAATGGCTTATGCTTTAGGTGTGTGTGTTTGGGGAGGGGGTACAATTATACTACGAGGCTGTATTTTGACAAAGATTTCAAATATGTTCAATGACCTTGTTTGTACATCTTAAAGCTTTAAGTGCCCAGGAATTCCTTCTCCGGAGTTCACAAAGGGATAATCTTCAGGTTCCTTCCTTCCTTCCTGCCTTTCTCCCTTCTTCCCTAGCTCCCTCCCTTCCCTCCCCTCCCCTCCCCTCCCCTTTCTTCCCTTTCTTTCTTCTTTTTCTTTTTCTGAAACCACTTAAATGTATTTAGGAAACTTTGAATGAAAGTAAGACATTGGTTCTTTACATCTTAAGATAGAAAAGGCATTAAGAAGTACATCTTTCCCATCTAGAAAAATATTACCATCCAGCAAAAAAACACAATTATATTTAGAAATACAGTAAATTATGACTGCTCAGAAGGTGTTTAATTTCATGGTTTTAACTCTATAGCTGTGCCACATTTTCTAGAATAGGTTAAGAGACCTCATACAGATTATCTTTAAACATCTACATAAGATGGTTGCTAAAAGCTTTCACATTTTGGATTACTTTCATTTTTATGCCTAAATGACTTTCAGTGTTTCGACAGTATTTGCTCTTCACAGCTTATAAGTATTATCATTTGGAGTTGTTTCTAAGGCCTAAATAAAAAAGCCACATGGAAGGGAGTGGCAGGGGAAATGTGTTAGAAAAATACTTGTCTTCATTAGTTCACACACTAGAAACAACCCCATCCGACTCATCCATGAACCCAGTACTACCCTAAGTGGAAATACTACAAGGATTTCAGGCCAGACCTTCATGAGTATCTGTGTGAAATGAAACATTGCCTCTAGGAAACATCAGGAAGGTATCATTACTGGGCAAGGTAGCATGAACCAAATAGAAAACCAAAACATCTTATTTATTCTCCTCACTGATTGCAAATGTCGACCAATTCTTCTGGATGCTTTCTTCTTCATACTTTTAAACTTCAGTGCAAGTGTCTTTTCCATATATGATTCTAAAATCCGGATCTTAAAATCCAAGAGGAAAAAAAAACAACATAGAGGTTCAGAGACAAAGGGAGGAAGCAATGTGCTCTTATTTTCTGCCATGGTAATTACACTAGGGCAATACTAGCAGTAGTGTTTGAGAAACTAAATACCCGGCCAGGTTGGTAGCTCATGCCTGTAATCCTAGCACTTTGGGAAGCCAAGATGGTTGGATCACCTCAGGTCAGGAGTTCAAGACCAGCCTTGCCAACATGGAGAAACCCTGTCTCTACTAAAAATATAAAAATTAGCCAGGTGTGATGGCATGTGCCTGTAATCCCAGCTACTAGGGAGGCTGAGGCAAGAGAATCACTTGAACCTGGGAGGCGGAGGTTGCAGTGAGCCAAGATCATGCCACTGCACTCCAGCCTGGGCAACAGAGCAAGACTTCATCTCAAAAAAACGAAACGAAACAAAACAAAAAAAAAGAAAAGAAAAGAAAAGAAATACCTTAGTGGGGCAGTATAATAATTTGAAGAAAGTGCCTAAAACTCTGTTTCCACTTTTATTGTTTTTCAATTGAGATATCTGAATAATTGAAAACTGACTTCAGATAAGATTTAAAACATTTACAGCTGGGAATGACACTTACTTAAAGGGTAGAACACAGACACATACATGTAGCCCTGCAGTTCAGACTCTGCCTCTAGCTTTCCAATAAAATTGGTTGAAAGAACCTGCCAATTTATTAACATCCTCAAACCCAGGAGAAAATTATGGCTACTGTACTATATTCCACACTACAGTTGAAAAAAAGTGTTCTGCTACATCGAAGGTCAAGAGATTGCCTTGCTTCCTTAAGAGCATTGTTAAAGGTCTGATAATTTAAGAAAATTAAGATAAAATAATGCATTATGTGTATGTTACAAAAACCAGAGTAATAGTCTACTATACAGAAAGACTTCTGAACTTGCTTCTTCAATTGAAAAACAAGCAGGACCCAATTTAAAAAATAAGTATTGGCACTAGTAATAAAAACTGATTTTTCCTTTCTGCATCCTGCAATGAATTCATTGTTAAAAAAAATCAAAACTCATTTTTCTAAAAATCTCTGGACTCTTTGTAAAAGTTAACTTTCCTAGTCAATATCCTCAAGAAGTTTTCCGGGTGACTTGTATTCTTGTCTTCCCTATTCTCACTATATAAAAACCACACTTTATTTCCTTTCTTTTTCTGAGAAAGCTGTAAGGTAACTAATTTACTCAGACTATGGAACTCTAGACCATGCAGATCTTGATTGTAATTCTAACTTCACCATTGACCTTTAACAGTGTACAGGTTAATTATGCTTATCTGTAAAATAAGAATAACAGGTATCTCCTAGGATTATTATGAGAGCTAACTGAGATAATATACATAAAGTTCCCAGCTCCCAGCCCTGTGTGTCTCATAAGACGGGTGGCCACATTTTCAGTTCCTTTCCTGTTCTCCACCTGTCTCCCTCCCTCTGTTCCCCGCCCCTCTCCACAACTCGACCTCTAAAAAATGCTTAAGTAATTGTAGAGAAATTAGCATGAATGCCCAGATGCATTTGTTACTGAATAACTCAGCAGTGAACTTGGCATTCCATAGCTAACCTTTCCCCTTCATTAATCCCCTTCTCCATCCCCCTCAAACACAGGAGTACAACAGGATGCCAGGCGAACTATGTAACCAACCATGCACGTGAGCATTTTCTCCCAGAATTTTGACTAGTCTTGTTCTGCCTCAAACACTAGACGGGGCTCATGCTGCTCACAATTAACTGACTCTGGCCATGTGGTGGCTGCCCTCAAGATCTGCCACAAAGAGAACAGCAGTTCAATAAAATCTCGAACTCTATTTATAGCCCACTTGAAACAAGCAGTTTCCTTGAAGCCCAAGAAGCCCTCCTTGAGAATGCAGCAAGTAATTTACTAGTCCCAGTACTCACTGGGGAAATAAGAGGGAGGAAATGCAGCAAGTGCATTTTTTCAAGTACTGCACATATAGAAAGCATTTTGTCCTACACTCTGTCCCATTTCACCCTGATGTCACCAGCCAAGGAAGTAGACAAAACAGGCACTAGTAAGAAATCTCTGTTTTATAGATTACAAAACTGACACCTAGGAGGTTAAATTGCTAATGAACAGTGGTGGTTGGAGAAGGAGGTTAAAAAAATTGTCTAAAGGGTGAGAATAATTTCTTGCTCATGCAATCAATCTAAAATTCAGTTAAGTCATTATTTACCTATTAAAAAATATATACAACTAAGAAGAAATGTTTTGTAAGGCACTTGCAAGATTAAAAATTGTTCCTTCTCCACTTCTAAGAAGATCAAAATATGAGAAATAAAAACTTAGACTCTACAGGGAAATATTTATTAACACGTTTGTATCTATTTATAATATATACATTCAGAGTGATTATATTTTTGGCAAGAAATGCCTTCTTGAAGACCCCCAAAATTAAAGTGTGCATGCATAATCGAGACTGATTTTGAAAGATGATAGGAATTTTTATGAGAAATTTAAATTGATTCTGTCAGCTCTGAAATAAATACATCTTTACTATATTTTAATATGGAAGTTTGCATAATTCCAGTATGTATGCAAAATGCAAGACTTTATTATATGAGTTTATGGGCCAGAAATCATTTTGCTCTTAGAATTAATTTGATTTTGGCAAATACTTCAATTTTCTAAGATCCTTCTTTAAGCCCTGTTACCTGGAAACCTGAAAAAAATAAACAACTTTTGGGCTTGAGAGGGATGTCTGGGCAATTAGAATAGCTACACTGAAGTCTGCCCGTGTGTGTGTGTGTGTGTGTGTGTGTGTGTGTGTGTGTGTGTGTGTGTGTGTGTGTTTAGAGAGAGAGAGAGATTATTGCTTAAACAGTGCCCCTGGGTTGGTTGCTTGGCTTGGTGCCATTTGGGATTCTCAGATTTTATTGTCCCAGCTCTGATTTACGGAGTTCAGAATCTCGAAAGGCAAGGTGTCTGGAGTTTAGGGTCTTTCCATGACAGCCCCTCCTCTTCCCTGTACACTCCTTTTGCTTGTGGTCACCTTGTGGTGACCTTGCAGGACTCAGCGTTTTTACCTGAGCTCAGTAGCTGGGGAGCCCACTAGTGCTGGGGAGCGAGCCGTGGTTTCCATTCCTGGGTGATGGAGTCATGGGAGAAACTGCAGTGAGCAAACACAGTAGGACCTGAGTTGGGCTCGAATGTGCTTTAAGCGACTCAGGACAGAGCAGCTGCTCTGTCTCCCAGCTTGCAAGTGCAGCCTGCATTTGTCACTGACCACTGAAGTGTATGTTTGTGCAAGGTGAGAGCTGGGTGCTTTGTTCTTAATTTGGAGACAAATTGCCAGGTATTGTTGTTGATTGTGTTTAATAATTTGGGGATATTTATATCACCACAAATTCAGGACCTAGACTGTGTGCGGTTTTATTTATACCCTTGTTTTCTGTCATGATCCATTCAGCTCTCCACGGTGTCTACATTGTGGCAACAGATTGGACATAGTGCTGTTCTTCCACGCTGAAATGTGATCGTTATAGTGCAGTGTTTCTTGGATTCTTTCGTTAATCGCTGCTGCCACATGATGTATCTGTTCATATACAGAATTCCAGTGCTAATTTGAAGGAATATAAAAACTGCTTCCGATAAAAATCTAAATTGCTATATTTGTTTAGTGCTTGCTGTGGTGTATTCTTTGCTTTACCCACATTTTAGTGGTTGAAACTTTGAGAGAGTAGAGTGCCTTAGGATTTGATCTGTTGACAAAAGCAGTGGGAGTTTTTTGTGTAATTGCTTGTCAAAATGAAAACAACTACTTGGCCATTTGTGTGTGTCTGCGTGTGTGTTTTTTTTTTTTTAAAAAAAGCCAAAAGAAAACCAAATAATACGTGCTATCTTTTGATGTACTTACAATTAACTTAATCAACCTATAAAGCTTTTGTTATCCGCATATTTGAATTTTGTAACCTTACATTCTGTGTACACAGGACAATACAACTGCTATGTAAGCTTGTAGAAGTACATGGGAACGCAGAGTATTACTCACTATGAGTCTGTTACAATAGGAATTAAAATCATGCTCTTGGGTTAACAGACCTTAATCGTGGGTCAGTTTTGTATGTTGGCTACTTAAGTGAACCCATAAACTATAAAAAGGAGATACTTTTTAAATATCTAAATAAATATATAGGAGGTTTGTATTTCTGAGACTCGTATTTGAGAAAAGGGAAAAGTATAGGAATTTGGTACTGTGTAAGTAGAAGAAGAAAAAGAATATCAGATTTTAAAATGAAAAAGAAGATAATACATTGAAATGAGGAATAATTATGAGGGAATACCAAAAAATTACTCTAACTGCTCAAATTTTTATGTCTAATGAAAGAACAATAGCATACTTAAAAAATTTAGAGTCAGCAGAAATGAAGCCAAGAACAAGAATTCTTAATAAAACATGTCAACCTGTGGAATGTACTTGTCAGTTTTAATTAATTTGGATTCTGTTGCTGAGATTAATAAAATGAGAAGGAAAAAAGGAAATTTAAATTTTTTATTTAAAATTGATATCCATTTTGATAGACTTTAAAAACTAATGAAGTAAAATAAATTTTATTAAAAGGCAGTGAACATTAAAATTATTCAAAACAATTAACAAAGAACATATAATATTAAAATTATCTGTCCCACTTTTAAAGTATGTCAGTTTTGAAAGAAGATTCTAATACTGTAAACTAGATCGTCACCTGTTCCTACATGCATGTGGAATGCCAAGTTCCTGGGACACTCTCTTCATGGTTCCTTGCTTTCAGACTCTATGTAAGAGCACTGTGGTATGCTGAGCAGAAACACCTGACTCTAACACTGTAATGCTTTCTATGCGAGTTAAGAAAAAGTTTCATTTCACAGATGTGGAACTTGAGGTGTACAAAGAATTGATGATTGGCATTTCTATATGGGAACCTGTACTATATTGGCTTTTCATGATGTAAAATTTGGCTGCTTCTTGAAAAGAGTTTAACATGACTATCACCATGACTGAAAAGATGTACAGGAAGGCCTTGTGTAACTGTTTTATCAACACAAGAGTATTCATCCCTCTGTGAGGACTACAGTCTTGTATGTTCAGATGTGGCATCCATGTGAACCCATGGTCAGCTTCTATGTTGAAACACTAGAAAGTAAGTCACCTATTTGATGAATCATAATCAGTGTATACAGCCAAGAAAAGCCTTTAATAGTGTCTGTGTTTGTTCTTTAGATAACTAGCTTACCTCAACATGCAAAGAGGTTTAAAAAGGTTTAGAGAATTTAGGTACTGACCTCAGAGCACATGCCAGTCTGTTCAAACACATTTACTTCTATGCAATTAAGTTCTCCTAGTTAAGGGGAAAGATTAGCCTTTATTTACATATTTGATAAATATCTCTAATTTTCTAAAATGCTTAAACTCCCTAACACATTGTGTCCTTGCTTTCTTCCTTCTTTCAGCTTTACACTTTTCTTCTAGACTATAAACTCACTAAGTTCTTCATTTGCTGAACCTTCTTTCTTTCTACACCTTGGACAAGGAAGCAGTTTTGATGTATCCCTTGGGACCAGGGAAAATCCTACTTCCCTTGAAATCAAGAGATTACTGCCCACTCTCTGAGCAGAAAATGGGAGAGTGAGTGGGAAAGAATGAGATTAGTGGCTACCAGGCAGCAAGGGCCACTGTGTCCATCGTGCCTAGCATTTCTGCTATTCCTACTTTTTTAATCCATCTAGTCCGTTGCTAGGCTTGGGAACCTACCTCAACAATTGTTTATACATACCGACATAGTTACACTTCTACAAAGGCCTTTGGTAAACTGACAGTAAATATGACTTTTAGCTTATGGGATTGGCTTACAGCACTATCCGTCATTTGTATGTCTCTTTACCTTGGCCACTAAGTTCTATTTTGCCTACTAACTCTTCCCAAAGCAGTATAGATTCAGATAATATAATGGGCACTCACACAACTTTTAACTACTATTACTTCTAGATTCCTTAAATTAGGCCTCGGTTTTTTGGAGAGAAGAAACCTGGAGAGCAGGGTACGTGATGTGATTATTTCTCTGGTAGATTAGTCCTGAGACCACAGTGTTCTGACAGTCACTGGGCTCCTCAGTGGACCGCTGGCTATAAGGACTTGGGAGCTGGAGTAGGAGCAGATGGCAGCAGGTGATTCTCCGTTGGAAACAGGGAGTATAAACATTTTCTGCAAGTCTGCTCAAGAGCCCTGCCTCATTTATCTTGAATGCAGTGTGTCTTCTAAGGAAATAAAATAAATACAGCCTGGTTGCTGGAATATGACTGCCTGTCATTCTTGGCCCCTGCCACAGGAGGTACCCACTAAAGTCATTATATCAAATACATATATAATTCCTGCTATTTAAACATTTAAGTTATTTCCATTATGCTAGGGAAGACCTCAAATCGGATTCTAATATCTACCTATGTTCCCTTCAATAGCCACCCATCATCATAAATAATAAATAATTTTTAAAAACACTGATGACCAATACAACATAAACTCTTTACACATTAAGAGCCCCAAAATTCTTTTCAATACGTAATTCAAATAATCAGTAAGACAATGTAATTACAACTTCCAAGTATTTCTAATGGGCAAGGAACCATCAATAAAAATTATTGCAAAGTTTCCTATTTATAGGCATATTTGACCTTAAGGGAATTTTAAAGAACACTACTCCAATATATTAAAATCAATAAAAAGAGAGACTTTTACATTTTAATATTTTTAAAGATTGGCATGCTTTAAATATTTTTATGATAAAGTATAAAACCAACTGGAGTGTGTTCCTTCTCCAACTCTTATTCTTATACAATGGGCTTTCATTTGACTGATAACTTATCAGAACACACCAATGTGTTCAGAGGGATTATTTTGTGGCTATAAAGAAATGTCTCCACCTGGTACCGTGGCTCACACCTGTAACCCCAGCACTTTGGGAGGCCAGGGTGGGAGGATCACTTGAGCCCAGAAGTTCAAGACCAGGCTAGACAACATAGCAAAACTCAGTCTCTACTAAAAATACAAAAATTAGTGGGACATGGTGGTATGTGCCTGTAGTCCCAGGTACTCGGGAGGCTGAGGTGTGATAATCACCTGAGTCCCGGAAGTCAAGGCTGCAGTGAGCTGACATCACACCACTGAAGTTCAGCTTGGGCAACAGAGTGAGACTCTATCTAAAAAAAAAAAAAAAAAGTCTCCTTTTCCTTTTCCTGCTAAGTCTGTGTAAGAACTGTATTTTTAAACGTAGGTTTTATTATTTTTCAGGAATTGTGGGGCCAATAGATTAGGAGGTGATTGTTATTGAAGAGATAGTTTGTCACTCTCAAGTTCCCAAGAAGAGAGGGGCAGGCCACATGCAGGGGCCATACAGGGAAGCACCAGGGTCAGTCAGGGGCAGAGGGAGCCAAAAGAAAACAGGAGCAAGAGCCTTTTGTGTTTTCCGTGGGCGGGAACAAATAAGGCAGGGTGAGAAGGCTTGGGATTAGCTAGTTTGTATAATTCCGGTGGTCTCAGTGGTGTAGGGGTTGTCTCTAGTTGTCTAATACCTGGCCCTGGAGTGATTTGAGCAGAAGGATAGTGGCCCAGAGCATGAGAGCCTGATAGAGGAGGTGGTTGAGGTATGGGCTCTGGATTCGTTGGTTTGCATGTGAAAACACACTGCCAGGTGGGTCTTTTACTATTATTAGGCATTGAGTAGCCCTGGAAGGGGCAGTCTCTTCAGGCCCACAAGGCCTCAGATGACAAATCATCAGAAATACAAAAATAAAAAGGCATGATTAATGCAGATTAACACACCAAACAGGAATAGACTACTTAGTATCATTTTGCCATGTGCGGTGTTCAATGGGTTAGTCCATTGTGGACAACCCTCTCTTAACACCAAATATACCCCATTAACTTAGGCAGAACTTTAGAATGGTGGGAGAAGGATGAATGAGTCAATAAGAAGTAGTAGGTACCGGTACAACTATGTAGCCATTTAGAAAAAAAGTACCACCAAAATAAATTCTAAAATGGTTGAAGGTTTAGGTGTAAAGTATGAAATTATCAGCATACTAGAAGGCTTTGGTGTGCTTACATGCACAGGGGCGATGCTATCACCACCATGCCACTGAGTTGTCATGGGCAGGGGTAGAAATAGTGTCCTGCTGCTTGAGGGGTACCTGGGCATGGCAGTTACCATAGCAGAATAGAGGTGTCCGAGGTGGGCCTTTCTCTGTACCATCTACCCCAGTGTTCTCTATGTGTTTCAGGCTCCCAGGCTTCAGAGAGGAAGGAAAGCAAAGAAGGTATATATGTCAATCACTAATTTATTTTATAATTCCAAATTGATGCCTGTGTTTTATGCTGGGGCCGGACAAGTGTTAGGAAAATATTGTAGACTGATTTCTTGTTCTTAACTGTCCTGATTCCTAAATCTGATACTTGATTGAGGCCTCAAAGTACCATCACTCTCTCTGGTATCTGCAGATTTCTGATCTCTGACTTCCATTGATATGACAATGGAATGACACACTGTCAGCTATGTGCTGGCCCTTTGAAGTTGCTATCGGAATAGACTGAACTGATTCAAAAAGCTATCTATCAAGAGGTACGTGCTTGGTGGGGAGGAGACAGCTTCAATTGGAAAGGTTTTTCTTTAGGTCTCTGGATTTTTTTTTCTATTTTACTTCCTGTTCCTCTAGTTAATTTCTTTATCCTGGGATTCCTCCCCTCCCATGACCTCCCGTACTGTTTCACACTATCCTCTGACCTGGGGAAAAAAAAAACAACAACAACACTTGTGTCATTCACGCTAAGTTTCTCAGACTGGCAGGCTGTTTAGAGCATGTGCAGTGTTCTAGCAACAGATTAAGGCAAATCTACAGAACTTCAAAAGCCTGAAGGCTTTGAAAAATTGCAAAGGACTACCCAGTTATATTTGGAATTTCTGCCTTTTGGATTTGTATTAGCTAAGAAACCCAGAAAAGTTTTTAAACTTTTAAAATTTAGTGTTAGTAGAAACTTGGAAGGTACAAACAGTTTTCTAAAACAGTCATGAACAATTTAGTCAAGGTGCTGAGAATGAAGGCCAAATGTGTCTGAAACTTTCAAGTAAGGTATTTATAAGCTCACTAGAAGTCACACAAAAGTGATTTTAAATATCAGAAATATTTTACATTAGTTAAGAACACAGGCACTGGGATCAGCTGGATCTGCTTTGAAATCCATGAGCAAGTTGGGAAGGTTATTTAACTTTTGTGAAGCTCAGTTTTCACATATGTAATATTAGTATAAATCACATATTACGAAGTTTAGCTGAGAAAATATGTATGTATGTATTTGTTTATAGTAGAAGAAATAATCAAAAAGCTAACCTGTGAATGGAGATATTTTAGCAAATAGGACTATTATTTTGGTGGAGGAGTGAATTTTTTCTAGATCAAGAGGTAGAAAAAGTTGGGGGAAGTTATCAGAGAGAATAAAAAGAATTAATGGGAGATACAATAGGATAAATTTGATCATCACAGAATGAAGACCTCATTATCATTATCTGTGACCTTCTTCCATAGGACCTAACACAATTTCTTCCTCATAGTAGGTCCTTTTTTATGTTAAATAAATGAATGAATAAAAGAAAGAGACACTAACAGTAATCATGAAGGAAAATAGAGAATTGCATAAAAGAATATTTTAAAACACCTCCAAGACATCCTATCTCAAGTACACTTTGTTGGTCAGATATATCTATAATACTTCACCCATCTCGCCACTTGCCCCTGAAAATGAGACAGAAAACTAATAAGAACAGTTCTATTGATTACCCAGTGTATCTGTTACAACATCCCATAAGGAGGATAGAGTGAGAAACCAGTGTTCTTTGGACATACTGAGGAATGACACACCTGTCAAAACGGAGAGAAGATCTGTGACGTCCACGTGGTTTCTGGAAGAAGTCAAAGGGTGAACAGAGAGCCCAAACTGAAAAGACCATTAATCTTAAAGAAATGCCAGGATGGGATGAAGGCCTCAATCTAGAGTTGCTTTTACTATTTGGGAAGGGACAAATATTTATAGTCCTTTGCTCTATGGAATGTTTTGTTTCCCCAAGCCTTGCCCATTAATTGCCAATCACTCCTCCATTTATGTGAAAACCCAAACACTCCTGCACTTTTCAAATATCTCCAAGGGAGTGGTTCCCAAGTAAAGAATACTGAGAGTATAAAAAGTAGATTGAACCATATTTAGAAGTGTAATGACTAAGTATCAGAATAAAAAAACTTCACTCCTTGGCTTTCATGGATCTCATAAGCATATATTTTACTCTTTTGAAGTGAAAGCAAATACCTTGTTAGTAGCTTGTCATTTTTCTGAGGAGTGTGTTTGAATCATGTTTGCTGTCAGTCTGATTTGGAAAGACCCATCACTTAGCTAGTGAGTGAGATTAGCATACCTCACTCTTGCCGACACCCTTTCAAGTAAGTCTATGCAGGCTTGTTTTTCTCTTCTTGTATTCATTGCAAACCTAGTAACTCGCACAATGTAATTTAAAAAAAAAAAAGCAAACTTTGGGCCGGGCGCGGTGGCTTATGCCTGTAATCCCAGCACTTTTGGGAGGCTGAGGCGGGCGGATCACGAGGTCAGGAGATTGAGACCATCCTAGCTAACACGGTGAAACCCCGCGTCTCTACTAAAAATACAAAAATTAGCCAGGCGTGGTGGCGGGCGTCTGTAGTCCCAGCTGGGAGGCTGAGGCAAGAGAATGACGTGAACCCGGGAGGCGGAGCTTGCAGTGGGCCGAGATCGCGCCACTGCACTCCAGCCTGGGTGACAGAGTGAGACTCCATCTCAAAAAAAAAAAAAAAAGCACGGTTTGTTTCATTGTAGAAAAATGGTTCTAAAAAGGAAAGCAATTTGTACGGCTGCTAATGAGGTGGAAAGGATGTGAAGCGATAGAATGTGATAACGATTTGTATTTTGTTTGTTTGTTTGTTTTTTGAGATGGAGTCTTGCTCTGTTGCCCGGGCAGGAGTGCAGTGGCATGATCTCAGCTCACTGCAACCTCCGCCTCCCGGGTTCAAGAGATTCTCCTGCCTCAGCCTCTCGAGCAGCTGGGATTACAGGTGCGTGCCACCATGCCCGGCTAATTTTTGTAGTTTTAGTGGAGACAGGGTTTCACCATGTTGGCCAGACTGGTCTGGAACACCTGAGCTCAAGTGGCCCAGCTGCCTTGGCCTCCCAAAGTGCTGGGATTACAGGTGCGGCCAGATAGTGATTTGTAGGTAAGAACAGTTTTGGATAAATTATGGAATTCAGACTTGGCAGTGCTGGCAATCTATGACAGCATGTCATTATTGACACCTGCAGTGACAGTAGGAGCAATGCAAGCTTTGGTCCTAAGAAACATGACCTCCATCTTTTGTTGTTACCTTATCTGGGTATGGGATGTTGTGTTCACATTCCTCAGGTTGTGTTAAGTTTTGTGGTACACCAAACATTTCTGTGTGTGTCACAGAGTAGGAGAATGAAGTGTCAGGGAAATGTCCTTGATAACAGTACCTGTATTACTTTCTCAAAACTGCTGTAACAAAGTTTCACAAATGGGTGGTTTAAACAACAAAAATTTCCTGCCTCACAGTTCTGGAAGCCATAAATGTAAAATCAAGGTGTTAGCAGGTTGATGCTGCCTCTGAAGACACTACAGAAGGTCTGTTCTCGGTCTTTCTCCTACCTTCTGATAGACTCAGGAGTTTCTTAGCTTGTAGATGCCTGTCTTCCTATGTTTCTCAACATCACCTTCCCTCTGTGCATATCTATCACTGTGTCCCTATTTCCCCTTTTTATGAGGACACCAGTCATATTGGATTAGGGACTACCACTTTGACCTGTAAAGACCCTATTTCCAAATATGACCACATTCTGAGATACTGGAGGTTAGGACTTCAACATATCTTTCCTGAGGAACATAATTCAACCCCTAGCATTGGCTCAGAAGAAATAATAGTAATGGGAGAACCCAAGAAAATTCAGAGTCCAGGACTGGCCTCAGTATTATATTACCTCCATGCTATTCGAAGTGTGGTCAGTGACTAGCAGCATCAGTATCCTGTCAGCGCTGGTAAGAAATGCAGAGTCTCAAGCCTCTTCTAGACCTCCTGCATCAGAATCTGCATTTTAACCTAGATCCCCAGATGTTTTGTTTGTACATTAAAGTTTCAGAAGAGCTGTTCCAACTCACAGAGTAGAAGCCCAATTCTCAAATGCCAAAAAGGAGGGGGAAAAAGGACTGTGCTGATGTGCAGGGACTCCCTAAATATGTGCACATAGCAAGTATGGGGTCATCATTCTAGCCCAGCTGTGACATATTTATTCCTAAAGGTAATATTTATCTCTGAAAGTTTTAGGAGTTAAGTGTTGATGACTATTTATTCCCTTGCTGTAGAGCATCCCTTAGGAGTGAACTCAGAAGATCATTAGGCAGAGATAGCTCAAATTCTTTTTTCCTACACTTGCTTTGATTCTGTAAGTTGTTTCTTTTCTGCCAACCTGCTCTATAATTTGAGTCAGCCTAGCTAACTGGGTCATACAATCTAATTCTGAAATAAGGCCTGTCAAGGGAAAACATTTTCCCCAGTAATGGGGAAAAGGTACTTGAATTTCTAACATCATTCTTTAAGTGATTGAAAATGTCGTGAACTCTTGCTTCACTGACTTCTGCCTCTCCTGCCCCAAGGTCTTTGCACGTCCCTAAAGATGTAATTCAGCTGGAATTTGTGGTTGTGGAGTCTATGTTACATGAAGACAAATCGAAAGAGAAAAACAAAAAAAAACAAGCAGCGGAATTAAACTTTGTCCTGGAGTCATCTTGGGCAAATGCTTATAATAGCAAGGGAACAAATGCAGCTTCCCTAGAGGACTCCGAGGTTGCAGTTCTCATGGGGGTGGGGACTTGAAATGACAAGTGATTATTCACAGAAGTAAAATATGCTCAGGAGGAGCCCACTCCCCTAAACTCCAGTGTCAGCAAGCACACCATATGGACTGTATTCCAATCCCAATAAAACTGCCATGCTGCGGGCAATGTTGTAGGGAAATTTCCCTACGTGGGAATCAATCTTTGTAACTGATAATTAGAGAATTTTAACATTTTTATCATCTTCTCTCGAGTCCTATAGTTTAGATTCCTCGATCGGTATTGTATTTCTGCTCTGCTGGCTTTATCTATATGCTAAGTAGTAAAACAAAACCAAACTTTGAAAATGTACTCCCAGCATCATTTGACTGTCTTGATCGTCCTTTCTGTTAACATTCTTTATTGGGTTCAAATAATGTCTGGAAAAAATAGCGAACGTGTGTTATTACTAGGTGCCAGCCACTCTCCTAAGCATCTACATTACTTATACACTTTTAATTCTCACAACAATGCTATAAACCACAGATGGGAAATTGTGCAGATGAGGAAGTTGAGACACAGGTTAAATCGTGACATCAACTAGTGGCAGGGTCAGAATTCAAATCTGATTCCACAGCCTGTGAGCATGACTACTGTGGATACTGCCTCTCAAGAGAGACATGTAATCATTCTGAATATATCTTTAAAAGGCCAAAATAGCCGGGCACGGTGGCTCACGCCTGTAATCCCAGCACTTTGGGAGGCTGAGGTGGGCAGATCACGAGGTCAGGGGATCAAAACCATCCTGGCTAACACAGTGAAACCCCATCTCTACTAAAAATACAAAAGCAATTAGCCAGTCATGGTGGTGGGCGCCTGTAGTCCCAGCTACTTGGGAGGCTGAGGCAGGAGAATGGTGTGAACCCAGGAGGCGGAGCTGGCAGTGAGCCGAGATCACGCCACTGCACTCCAGCCTGGGCGACAGAGCGAGACTCTGTCTCAAAGAAAAAGGCCAAAATAACTACTGCAAAATGTGTTTTTAAAATCTCTTTTATTGCATAGCCAATTATGGCAGATATGCCCCCCACTTCTGTTGCTGAAACTGTATCCTTCCTTAAGTGACACATTTTAGGGACGTTTTCTTTAAGACATAAACAAAATACAATTATTTTCACACCTTCCCTCCCCCACTAAGTCCATCCCTCCCTCCCCCAAGCTAACTTTGCCAAACACCTGCTCTGTTCTTCATTCGCATGGAGGGCCCACCTTGGAAATTTTCTGCTCTTCCTCTCTTTATTTCTTCCTCCAGCTGCGCTGAGCCCCTCACCTTTATTTGTTGTCATTATGCTGATCAATATTGAGTTCTATCAAAAATCGTAGCTCAGTTGCCACAACCTGAGCATTGTTCATGGCATTTTCATGAGCAACTAATTACCTTAGATGGCATCTAATAAATGTTTGGCACCTGCTTAATTCCAAAGGGAAGGGGAAACACAACAATTACAATGAACTAAAAATGGTAGCTATTCTCATTACTTTCAGCAATCATAATAAAACAGAGAAGACTCAGTAATAATAATTGTATAAATTATTTTAAACATTAAAAAGAGTAATTTGTAAGTATGTGCGGCTTAACATAGCCCTTGCTCCAAAGTACGTTTCTGAAAGAAAGTGTATATGCTGATTTAAATATGGATATCAGAGGATAGAGACTTTCTAGTGCTCCTTATTCTCATCTTTTATTAACACTGATCATCCAAACTTGAATTCTTAATAACTGTTTATGTTCACACAGAACTTCTTTATCAGTTCAGATAAAGCTTTAAACCTGAATATGTCTGGTCATAATTCTAACTTTTTTTTTCTTTTTTTGAGATAGAGTCTCGCTCTGTTGCCAGGCTGGAGGGCAGTGGCCTGATCTCGGCTCACTGCAACCTCTGCCTCCTGGGTTCAAGCGATTCTCCTGCCTCAGCCTCCCGAGTAGCTGGGACTACAGGCACGTGCCACCACGCCCAGCCAGTTTTTGTATTTTTAGTAGAGACCGCATTTCACTATGTTGGCCAGGATGGTCTCCATCTCCTGACCTCGTGATCCACCCGCCTCAGCCTCCCAAAGTGCTGGGATTACAGGAATTCTAATATTTTTTAAGAATAAAATAATTTCACTCTGTTGACTAAGCAAATGAAACACAAATGCTTTTTACTGGAGTTAACTTAGAAACTACCAAGTGTCTTTTTTCTGTTTTCTTTTTTTTTTTTTTTTTTTTTTTTGAGACAGAGTCTTGCTCTATCACCCAGGCTGGAGTGCAGTGGCGCAACCTTGGCTCACTGCAACCTCTGCCTCCCGGGTTCAAGCGATTCTCCTGCCTCAGCCTCCTGAGTCACTGGGATTACAGGCCTGTGCCACCATGCCTGGCTAACTTTTTTTTTTTTTTTTTTTTTGTATTTTTAGTAGAGACTGGGTTTCACCCTGTTGGTCAGGCTGGCCTCAAACTCCTGACCTCATGATCCACCCACCTCACCCTCCCAAAGTACTGGGATTACAGGCATGAGCCACCACGCCCAGCCTTAAGTGCCTTTTTTAAGAAACTCAATGGTCTATATTTGGTTGAAGAGAACAGAACAAAACAAAACATAACAAGACATGTGATAGAATAAGCTTAAGTAAACTTTGATTTAAAAATTACTTAAGAAAACTTATGCCAAGTTCACAATTACTTAAGGAACATAAGGAATCATTTTTCCTGGACTGCATTTTACATCCTGCCTTTAAGCCCCGGGCTAGTCTAAATAACAGCTATGAAGAAGAGATAAGCTTCAGGGTGCACACTGCGCCCAGGAGCCACAGAAGGTCTGATGAACCATGTGGTCTTACGAGCCCAGCATTTTGACTGGTCTGTCCCACTCTACACGTGCCATGTCTCCTTCCGTATTAATTGTTTCATATAATTTGTCTGTCCCTCATAACTGCTGTGGATCCAGGGTTTTGCTTAGTTAGCAGGATTGGCTCTCATAGCTTTGGTTCTGTATTTTAAAGGGAAGCCCATGAAGTGTGAATACTTTTAGAGATAAAGACTCTACCTGTGATGGATCAACATTGTTGAAATACAGCCTCTATAAATCAAAATTTAATTAACTTTATTTAGTATTGTGACACAGCTTGTTGGTAATCAACCTTAAGTTGTGTTAAAGTTGCCACCTGATCAACAGGAGATCATCTATGGATAAAGGGTATAAGCAGATAGAGCTATATCAATTATGCAATTAGACAGCTCTTACTAATTTATCAGACGTGAAACTGCTGATCATTTTAGGTATCTTACTTGAATTTAGTCTCTTCTTTTTGAATTTGGTCAATAAAGTGTTACAAACACCATATAAATGGAAACATTGAAGTAGGCACCATAATACCTGTTAGAGAAACCATAGAGAAAGTTATTTTGTTTTACTTACCTCAGTTCCATTTTAGACCTACCTATTATTATGTTTTAAATGGAATCCAGAAAAACTGCTCAGTAGGCTATTTCCATTTAGCTGCATTTGTACTTTTTCAGAATCTCTTTTTATATTTATATTTTGTTTACTTATTGGGCATATTGCTTTCAGGTCATATTGTGAAGTGAGAAAGCGTACATTCATTATTCTCATTCAAGTGCAGAGCTCAAGAATACTGATTGAAAATTGTATAAAATGTGTTAAGAGGAACTTTCTTTACTATCCAGAGCCAGCAGAGCACAGTGCTGAAGAGCCCAGATTCAGGAGCTAAACTGTGTTGATTGTAGTTCCAACTCCATTCTAAACTTATCTTAGATAAGTCATCTAATCGCTTCAATTTCCTCATCTATGAAATGGGAATTGTAGAACTTAACTTATAGTGTAATAGTGAGAATTACTTAGAATAGTTTCTGGCTTAAATAAGCCCAATATGTGTATTAGAGATTATTGTTATCATTATATTTTACTATAGCAGTAGCTTTGCACATTTGTTTATTTATTTTCATTTGTTTTTAGTGGAATCTTTCTTCAAATGACTTTGTACAAAGGTGTCCAATATTCATAAAGCAGATAAAATCCAATTTTGCTTGATTGAAATGATGGTGAGAATTGCTGTTTCCAGCCTCATTCAAGTACACCTGTATATAAAACACATTCATGGAGCACATTTTGTTCAGCAGAGTTATACAGACCTAGGCATCAGCAGGATGCTCCTTGGTGGTCTATAAAATTCATCAGAGAAGTGTATATTCAGTAAGTAGTTTTGAAAATTAAATAATAACAATAATAAATAATAGAGTTTATGTACCAGCCACTGGTTGTACCAGCCACTGTTCTAAGCATTCACACACAAGCCCTACTTGGCCTTTTCCCTTTAGGTAAAAGGAACCAAAATAGCAGAAATGTGCCTCTCAAACTGTTGAATATTTTAGGTATAATTAAGAAGTTATTGCCTGTTGAATTTGTATACTATATGTACTGTACTTGAGTGATATAAAAGGGGATAAATATTTACCTATCAAGAGGAAATTTCAGGGTTTCTATTTTGAAATACAGCATAGCTAATACAATCTGGATGTTCAGTAATGTATTCTTTGCCCCCCCGGCTGAATGGGAAGTAGTAGATGGGAGTTTAAGGCCTTTGTTCACTTTACATGCAAATCCTACTCTCTCTCTCAATCATTTCTATGAATTTGGAGTGCAGGCATAGGAGTCAAAACACTGGATTCAAATCCTAACCTGCCACTTTCTGCCTGGGTGATGCTGGACAAGTTACTTTACCTGTTTCTTAGTGGTCGCTTCTACAGATTGGAGGGAGCAGTATTATGTGTATCATAGTACTGTGGTCAGAAATAAACAGTGTAAAACATTTTTATTGTTGTTATTACAGGACAATAAATGAAGTCTTCCAGGTCCATGAAATATACAAAACATTACAAAAGTGCCACTTTACCTCAATCTGGACTCATAAAATGAGGAGCGATAAAGAAAACAACTTAATTATTCCGTGGTCATGAATTCGGCTTATTGAGAGAACTGGCAGGGCACATTATACACACGTCAGCTGTGGCAAAAATTAGTCAACATTGTTTGTAGAAAGCCTGTGATGTCTGCATTACCAGCTGTCTGGAAAAAGGAGAACATAGCTTCCTTTTTTCTGCTTAATGTGGTCTGCCAGCCAGCTGGCACTAGGGGAAGAGGAAGGGAGCTCATGTTTATTGAACGTCTACTCTGTGCCAAATGCATCGTGTAAGTTGTCTCATTTGATCCTCCCACTTTGATGGTGGGGTGGTATCAGTAACCCTGATGAACACATGGGAGACTGAGACTTAGCGAGGTCAATTAACCCAGCCAAGAACCTACCGGTAGTAAATGAGATTCTGACTCAAAGGGCAGTCAGGCCATACTATTTACTCCTATTGATAATGCTACAGATACTTTCCAATGACCAGTTGGAGTTAGCAGTAAAAACTGAATATTTCATAATAAGTTATTATTTTACATATTATTTTGTAGAAAATGCAAGTTTCCTTTCAATTTTCATGACTGCCTTTATGTTTTTAAAAGATTAGATTGATGGTACAGTAATATTTTCTATTTAGGTTAATACTACCATTAAAATGCCACATTGTTGGACAGTTCTCTTATTGTTTCTGTATGTCTAATAACATAAAAATAGATTAGCATAATTGAAAACTGGATCATGAGTCGGGAGGTCTGCATTCTAGCTCTAAGTTCTTTCATTATCTGTGAATTACAGTTAAGGAAAAATTAAGCAGCTGGTAAGTGGCAGAGCTACTATCCAAACTCAAGACGCAAATAGCAGGAGAGGCAAAGTCAACTCATAATAGGAAAAATTTGATAAATTCATGATTTTGGACTTCAAATTTAATTTAATAATTTAAATTTAATTAAATAATATAAATAATGTATCACAAATATGAATTTGTATAAATTCATGAGTAGACATTTCATAGAAAGTTTGCTTATCCAAATGTTGATTGTCAGGAATCAACATATCAACGTATTTTGTGTGTGATTTTCTTAATTAATACAGGGAAAAATTTCTTTAAAATGTTTTACCATGGGAAAAATATAATTTCATCAAACTAAAGAGTACTATGATAGTTAAGCCACCTATTTATTTACAGAAAAATCAACAAGAATTAGAAAACATGTTGGAAATTTAAGCCATAGACTATGTAATATAATATTTAAAACCATTGACTATGTTATTCTTTCCACAGTATATTATAAATGTTGACATTGATACAAAATATATGTTGAACTATATGGGGTTTTCTTTACAGCTAAATGTATAAAATTTTATCACTGAGTTATATTTCATTAAGTGCAGAATAATTAAGTAGAATGTGTGACACAAAAAGCCCTAAAACATAATTGATAACATATTTTTAAAGTTGTAATTGCTTATGAAAATGTAACAATTGATTCTAATTTAGCTTCCTCATGTAAAGATTAAATGAGATAACATAAATAAAAGGTAAACTCCTCCCTGAAATACATTATTCAATGTCTTTATTAGTATTGTTAATAAACTGTTATTATACATCATGATATGCTAGGGAAGTTTTATAAACTAGATTTAGGAATTTAGGAGGAAGAAAACACAATGAGCTAACACTGATACCAGAGATTAAAGAGATATAGAGTCTCCAATAGGATCCATTAGCGGAGGGCCAGGTTCCTGGCTGAACTGTTCGTTACAGCATCTCTAGCACACAGCTCTGTAGCCTACATATTATAAGCTATTAGTAAATATTTATTGAGTGAATACATAAACTTTCCCCCTAAACAAAAGTGTTAATTTAGGCCACTTTGTGATGATGTTCTGGGATTACAGAATTAAATAAAAATACCTTTAGTCTTCTATTCCACAGAGTTAGCAGTTGTTAGTAACAATTCACACATACATACAAACACACGCATACACACAACATAAACCCAGTGTCTTAGGAACTTAAAAAATGATCGAGATTTGTATTTGTATTTACCTGGAGGAGCAGATAATGAACACTTTGCACCTTTTCTGATAATGATTTGGATGTGTCCCGTATAAATTGCAATGGGAGTTGTACTTAGTTTTAAATAATTTGCTTGGTGATCAAAGTCAAGCAAATTTGTATTGGTATAATGAAATTGTTGCTGTATCTCATAATTCTGTTGTTTTATTGTTGTTTTAGTTCATTTTGTTGTCCAATTATAGTGTATGGAAATGATGATAGCCATGGTGAATCTTAGGGGAGATGGGGATATTGCAGATGTAGGTGTATAGGGGATGACAAATTGGACATTGGAATAGGGTTGGAACCAATAGCCAGTTATCTCTGAAAATGTCATGGTGCATGGCACCAGTTTAACAGAGAGATATCATTGACCGAGAGGTTGGAAAATACTAATCTGTTATCACTTCTCCCTGCATTTTTTAATACTTTGTAGGATGTGTCACTTCAACTTTAACCTTGAAGCAATAGTACACATTACCATAGACAATATGTTTTTTCTTTCTTTTGCAAGTCAAAAGTATTGAATTGTGTCTGGACAATAAAGGAAGGTATTTTAATCTTCCCGGGAAATTTATCGTTATTACTCATGATAATTTTCAGTCATAATTATGATTTTACCCAACCTGTGTAAAAATTGTATTATACATACAAGAATTTTATTATGCAGACAAATTTGAAAAACAACTTTGTGGTATGTCTTTACTTACAATAGTCCTAGAGGTTGTCACTACTGTTCTATTTTAAAGATTGGAAAATTGAGGCCAATGGAGATTAAGGCGCTTGTTCAAAGTTACATAGCTAGTAAGTAGCAGTGTCTCATCCTAACTGAAGTCTTACTCCCAAACTATAGGTACATTAATGTATATATTAATATAAATCATTAGTGTGTATTTGTTAACATAATTTAGAATTTACATACACTATGTGTATTTGCCTTCCCAGGATTTTTCCCTGCCTTTTATATTCCCTGTTCTTTCCCTTTTTGCTTACGCACACTTAAGACATAGCAGTGCCCCTAATCACTACCTACCTGACAGAGGCAGAAGTAATCAACACAACTGTGTAAGTGAAGTTACTAATATATTCTGATTATGGATTGGAAACTCCCACCTATGTTAATAGAGTTAAAAATAAAGTAAAATAATCATAGCTACCATTGGTGGGTATTGGGAGGATTACACTAGAATGCATTTTTTAATCTAAATAGAAAACAATTCAAAGTTATTAGAAAAGCTTATTTAGCTAAGAGGTTGTTTAAATTTAAGAATATAATTTTTTTTCTTTTTCTTTTTCTTTTTTCTTTTGAGACAGAGTTTTGCTCTTATTGTCCAGGCTGGAGTGCAATGGCGCGATCTCGGCTCACTGCAACTTCCGCCTCCCATGTTCAAATGATTCTCCTGCCTCAGCCTCTCAAGTAGCTGGGATTACAGGCACCCACCACCAAACCTGACTAATTTTTGTATTTTTATCACAGATGGGGTTTCACCATGTTGGCCAGGTGGTCTCAAACTCCTGACCTCAGGTGATCCGCCCGCCTCGGCCTCCCAAAGTGCTAGGATTACAGGAGTGATCCACAGTGCCTAGCCTCAAAAATATAATTTTAAAAAATCTTTCCACCTATTATGTTATTTTCATGGGGTTATTACTTACATGTCTAAAAGCCACACGCACAAAAAAGCTGCCTTCCCACAATCACTTTATCTCCACCCCCAATCTGCTTTCTGTGAGGTAAGGGACTTGGAAACAGTGGTCTACTTTCATAATTCAGGGTTTTTTTTATTATTATTATTGACACTTTTTGTTGAGAGATACTACTTTAATATCTTACCTATTGCTATTGCAGTAAAATAAGTCAAACAGTACAGCATAAATAACCCACTATCAAATATTAGGATTAGGGAAGTGTTCTTCTGAAGTCAACACTTTAAATTTCTGTTGGATAAAACTATAAAACAATCAATTAATTCTCACCTAATGGTGATGGGGTCATTCTCAGACATCGCATAGTGGTTATTAACCAACTTTCACTCTACCTTGTTATCTTGGATAAAGATAACTTGTCAGGATTCCAATACTGTTTTCATCACCATGCCATGAATATCTGAGAAAAATTGATTTCTAGCCTTTTAACTGGGAAAAAGCAATAAGGAAACAGACTTACACAGTTTGCTTTCTGACTTATAGTTAAATAGTATGTTACCCTTCAGTTATGGGACCACTTTTAGACTTATTCATTATTTATGTGTCAGGGTGAGATATCAGAGAAAAATTTACAATAATTTTACTGCCAGCTTATAACTCAACTCATACAAAGACTAGAGTATAATTCAGCCAAAATAATCTAAATGTATGTGTTCTTCTGAGAGATCTTGAGTGCCAACTGGTTCTATAAACAAAAGGGGACAGTGTGAGGGTATAGAGCTTTATGAATTATGTTGGGAATTTCTGGACATTAGATTTCTCCTAAACCTTTCTGGAATACATGCACAAATTCAAATCAGTAAATTTTTATAATAATACTTCAATATCTAGATTCTACCATTGACTTGATGATCTGCAATGAATTTCTAATAAGAAGGTTTAAAGTGTCACTTGGTTTTTTTAACCACTAGAAATTTTGCTTGATTCATTTTTTTTCATTCATTTAACAAATATTTGTTGATTTGCATTGTGTGATAATACTATTCTGAGTTCTAGGAATACAGCAGTGTATTAAACTGATAAAGTCTGTGCCCTCAACAATCTTACATGCTAGACACAGAAGATATTTAATAATGGTATAATATAGGTATTAATGATGCTTAATAAAGTAAATATAAACTATGCCAGGCAGTAAGGGTCATAAAGATAGATATAGCAGAATAAAGGATGTAAAAAAGAACGGGTGGAGGAAAGTGTTCTTTTATGCAAATGGTCAAGACAGACTTCTTGAAGGTGAATTTTCAGCAAAGGAGCAAAGGCCTAAGGAAGGCTGCTGTGTGATGAGCTTTCTAGGCAGAAGACACTGAAAACGTCAAGGTTTAGATGTGGGACTATACCTGTCCTATTTGAGGAACTGCAAGGTGATCAGTTTGGCTAGAACTGTGGGGAGCAGGTCAGGTCAAAGATTAGGGCACACATATAGTTGTCACTGGCCAAATAAATGATTATCTGCCCACAGCATTAGAGATTAGAGATTAGGAAGTGGTGGTATTTGGAGGGTAATGCTGCCCTCCAAATACAATCACCCATCCCCAAGTTATGAGCATCCCCAAAAATGAGCATTGTTCATCTCATCCAGTAATGCATCCCAGTGCTGCAGATGAACAATGCTCATTTTTCAGTTGAAGAAAATCCATAATAAAGGAATCTAGGCATGTACTGTGCAGGATTACACAGTTAATAAATAGGAGAGATAGTCATCTAATCTGTTTTCTATAACTTTTCTCCCCCTTTCACCACACAATCTATACAGTGAGGCAGTACTATTTCTGTACCAAAATTCAGAAACAAATAAAATGCCTCCCATTTGTTAATATGAGATACAAAGTAGCCAAATTGTATATTTACATGCATGATTTAAATGAATAGTATTTTTCATTATACTTTAAGTTCTAGGGTACATGTGCACAACATGCAGGTTTGTTACATATATATACATGTGCCATGTTGGTTTGCTGCACCCATTAACTCGTCATTTACATTAGGTATTTCTCCTAATGCTATCCCTCTCCCATCCCCCTACCCCATGACAGGCCCTGGTGTGTGATGTTCCCCGCCCTGTGTCCAAGTGTTCTCATTGTTCAATTCCCACCTATGAGTGAGAACATGCAGTGTTTGGTTTTCTGTCCTTGCAATAGTTTGCTCAGAACGATGGTTTCCAACTTTGACCACGTCATTACAAAGGATATGAACTCATTCTTTTTTATGGCTGCATAGTATTCCATGGTGTATATGTGCCACATTTTCTTAATCCAGTCTATCGTTGGACATTTGGGTTGGTCAATATTGAGTTAATTTTTGTATAAGGTGCAAGGAAGAGATCCGGTTTCAGCTTTCTACATAATGGCTAGCCAGTTTGCACAACGCCATTTATTAAATAGGGAATCTTTTCCCCATTTCTTGTTTTTGTCAGCTTTGTCAAAGATCAGATGGTTGTAGATGTGTGGTATTATTTCTGAGGCCTCTGTTCTGTTCCATTGGTCTATATCTCTGTTTTGGTACCAGTACCATGCTGTTTTGGTTACTGTAGCCTTGTAGTATAGTTTGAAGTCAGGTAGCATGATGTTTCCAGCTTTGTTCTTTTTGCGTAGGACTGTCTTGGAAATGCGGGCTCTTTTTTGGTTCCATATGAACTTTAAAGTAGTTTTTTCCAATTCTGTGAAGAAAGTCATTGGTAGCTTGATGGGGATGGCATTGAATCTGTAAATTACCTTGGGCAGTATGGCCATTTTCACGATATTGATTCTTCCTACCCATGAGCGTGGAATGTTCTTCCATTTGTTTGTATCCTCTTTTATTTCCTTGAGCAGTGGTTTGTAGTTCTCCTTGAAGAGGTCCTTCACATCCCTTGTAAGTTGGATTCCTAGGTCTTTTATTCTCTTTGAAGCAATTGTGAATGAGAGTTCACTCTTGATTTGGCTCTCTGTTTGTCTGTTGTTGGTGTATAAGAATGCTTGTGATTTTTGTACATTGATTTTGTATCCTGAGACTTTGCTGAAGTTGCTTATCAGCTTAAGGATATTTTGGGCTGAGACGATGGGTTTTTCTAAATATACAATCATGTTATCTGCAAACAGGGACAATTTGACTTCCTCCTTTCCTAATCGAATAGCCTTTATTTCTTTATCTTGCCTGATTGCCCTGGCCAGAACTTCCAACACTATTTTGAATAGGAGTGGTGAGAGAGGGCATCCCTGTCTTATGCCAGTTTTCAAAGGGAGTGCTTCCAGTTTTTGCCCATTCAGTATGATATTGGCTGTGAGTTTGTCATAAATAGCTCTCATTATTTTGAGATACATTCCATCAATACCTAGTTCATTGAGAGTTTTTAGCATGAAGGGCTGTTGCATTTTATTGAAGGCCTTTTCTGCGTCTATTGAGATAATCATGTGGTTTTTGTCTTTGGTTCTGTTTATGTGATGGATTACGTTTATTGATTTGCATATGTTGAACCATCCTTGCATCCCAGGGGTGAAGCCCACTTGATCTTGGTGGAGAAGCTTTTTGATGTGCTGCTGGATTCGGTTTTCCAGTATTTTATGGAGGATTTTTGCATCGATGTTCATCGGGGATATTGGTCTAAAATACTCTTTTTTTCTTGTTTCTCTGCCAGACTTTGGTATCAGGATGATGCTGGCCTCATAAAATGAGTTAGGGAGGATTCTCTCTTTTTCTGTTGATTGGAATAGTTTCAGAAGAAATGGTACCAGCTTCTCTTTGTACCTCTGGTAGAATTCGGCTGTGAATCAATCTGGTCCTGGACTTTTTTTGGTTGGTAGGCTATTAATTATTGCCTTAATTTCAGAACCTGTTATTGGTCTATTCAGGGATTCAACTTCTTCCTGGTTTAGACTTGGGAGGGTGTATGTGTCGAGGAATTTATCCATTTCTTCTAGATTTTCTAGTTTATTTGCGTAGAGGTGTTTATAGTATTCTCTGATGGTAGTTTGTATTTCTGTGGGATCGCTGGTGATATCCCCTTTATCATTTTTTATTGCATCTATTTGATTCTTCTCTCTTTTCTTCTTTATTAGTCTTGCTAGCAGTCTATCAATTTTGTTGATCTTTTCAAAAAACCAGTTCGTGGATTCATTGATTTTTTTGAAGGGTTTTTTGTGTCTCTATCTCCTTCAGTTCTGCTCTGATCTTAGTTATTTCTTGCCTTCTGCTAGCTTTTGAATGTGTTTGCTCTTGCTTCTCAGTTCTTTTAACTGTGATGTTAGGGTGTCGATTTTAGATCTTTCCTGCTTTCTCTTGTGGGCATTTAGTGCTATAAATTTCCCTATACACACTGCTTTAAATGTGTCCCAGAGATTCTGGTACATTGTGTCTTTGTTCTCATTGGTTTCAAAGAACATCTTTATTTCTGCCTTCATTTCATTACATACCCAGTAGTCATTCATGAGCAGGTTGTTCAGTTTCCATATAGTTGCGTGGTTTTTAGTGAGTTTCTTAATTCTGAGTTCTAGTTTGATTGCAGTGTGGTCTGAGAGACGGTTTGTTGTGATTTCTGTTCTTTTACATTTGCTGAGAAGTACTTTACTTCAAACTATGTGGTCAATTTTGGAAGAAGTGCAATGTGATGCTGAGAAGAATGTATATTCTGTTGATTTGGGGTGGAGAGTTCTGTAGATGTCTATTAGGTCCCCTTGGTGCAGAGCTGAGTTCAAGTCCTGGATATCCTTGTTAACCTTCTGTCTCGTTGATCTGTTTAATATTGACAGTGGGGTGTTAAAGTCTCCCATTATTATTGTGCGGGAGTCTAAGTCTCTTTGTAGGTCTCTAAGGACTTGCTTTATGAATCTGGGCGCTCCTGTATTGGGTGCATATATATTTAGAATAGTTAGTGCTTCTTGTTGAATTGATCCCTTTACCATTATGTAAATGGCTTTCTTTGTCTCTTTTGATCTTTTTGGTTTAAAATCTGTTTTATCAGAGACTATGACAGCAATCCCTGCTTTTTTTGCTTTTCATTTGCTTGGTAGATCTTCCTCTGTCCCTTTATTTTGAGCCCATGTGTGTGTCTGCACATGAGATGGGTCTCCTGAATACAGCACGTTGATGGGTCTCGAATCTTTGTCCAGTTTGTCAGTCTGTGTCTTTTAATTGGGGCATTTAGCCCATTTACATTTAAGGTTAATATTGTTATGTGTGAATTTGATCCTGTCATTATGATGTTAGCTGGTTGTTTTGCTCATTAGTTGATGCCGTTTCTTCCTAGCATCAACGGTCTTTACAATTTGGCCTGTTTTTGCAGTGGCTGGTACCAGTTGTTCCTTTCCATGTTTAATGCTTCCTTCAGGAGCTCTTGTAAGGCAGGCCTGGTGGTGACAAAATCTCTCAGGATTTGCTTGTCTGCAAAGGATTTTGTTTCTCCTTCACTTATGAAGCTTAGTTTGGCTGGATATGAAATTCTGGGTTGTAAATTATTTTCTTTGAGAATGTTGAATATTGGCCCCCACTCTCATCTGGCTTGTAGGGTTTCTGCCGAGAGATCTGCTGTTAGTCTGATGGGCTTCCCTTTGTGGGTATCCCAGCCTTTCTCTCTGGCTGACCTTAACATTTTTTCCTTCATTTCAACCTTGGTGAATCTGACAATTATGTGTCTGGGGGTTGCTCTTCTCAAGGAGTGTCTTTGTAGTGTTCTCTGTATTTCTTGAATTTGAATGTTGGCCTGCCTTGCTAGGTTGGGGAAGTTCTCCTGAATAATATCCTGAAGAGTGTTTTCCAGCTTGGTTCCATTCTCCCCGTCACTTTCAGGTACACCAATCAAACGTAGATTTGATCTTCTCACATAGTTCCATACTTCTTGGAGGCTTTGTTTGTTTCATTTTACTCTTTTTCTCTAAACTTCTCTTCTTGCTTCATTTCATTAATTTGATCTTCAGTCACTGAAACCCTTTCTTCCATTGATCGAATCAGCTACTGAAGCTTCTGTGTGTGTCACGTAGTTCTCGTGTCATGGTTTTCAGCTCCTTCAGGTCATTTAAGGTTTTCTCTACACTGGTTACTCTAGTTAGCCTTTTGTCTAATCTTTTTTCAAGGTTTTTAGCTTCCTTGCGGTGGGTTTGAATATCCTCCTTTAGCTCAGAGAAATTTGTTTTTACCGACCTTCTGAAGCCTAATTCTGTCAACTCGTCAAAGTCATTCTCCATCCAGCCTTGTTCTGTTGCTGGCGAGGAGCTGTGATCCTTTGGAGGAGAAGAGGCACTCTGGTTTTTAGAATTTTCAGCTTTTCTGCTCTGGTTTCTCCCCATCTTTGTTGTTTTTATCTACCTTTGGTCTTTGATGATGGTGACCTACAGATGGGGTTATTGGTGTGGATGTCCTTTTTGTTGATGTTGATGCTATTCCTTTCTGTTTGTTAGTTTTCCTTCTAACAGTCAGGTCCCTCAGCTGCAGGTCTGTTGGAGTTTGCTAGAGGTCCACTCCAGACACTGTTTGCCTGGGTATCACCTTTGGAGGCTGCAGAACAGCAAATATTGCAGAACAGCAAATATTGCTGCCTGATCCTTCCTCTGGAAGCATCGTCCCAGAGGGGCATACGGCAGCATGAGATGTCAGTCAGCCCCCACTGGGAGGTGTCTCCCTGTTAGGCTACACGGGGGTCAGGGACCCACTTGAGGAGGCAGTCTGTCCGTTCTCAGAGCTCAAACACCGTGCTGGGAGAACCACTGCTCTCTTCAGAGCAGTGCAGACAAGGACATTTAAGTCTGCAGAAGTTTCTGCTGCCTTTTGTTCAGCTATGCCCTGCCACCAGAGGTGGAGTCTATAGAGGCAGCAAGCCTTGTGGTGCTGTGGTGGGCTCTGCCAAGTTCGAGCTTCCTGGCTGCTTTGTTTACCTACTTAAGCCTCAGCAATGGTGGACGCCCCTTCCCCAGCCAGGCTGCCGCCTGGCAGTTCAATCTCAGACTGCTGCGCTAGCAATGAGCAAGGTTCTGTGGGCATGGGTCCCACTGAGCCAGGCACAGGATATAATCTTCTGGTGTGCCATTTGCTAAGACTGTTGGAAAAGCACAGTATTTGGGTGGCAATATCCTGATTTTCCGGGTACAGTCTGTCACAGCTTCCCTTGGCTAAGAAAGGGAAATCTTCTGACCCCTTGTGCTTCCCAGGTGAGGTGATGCCCCGCCCTGCTTCGGCTCACCCTCTGTGGGGTGTACCCACTGTCCAACCAGTCCCAATGAGATGAACCAGGTACCTCAGTTGGAAATGCAGAAATCACCCATCTTCTGCGTCTGTCACGCTGGGAGCTGCAGACTGGAGCTCTTCCTATTCGGCCATCTTGGAACGGACCTAAATGAATAGTATTAAAAGAAAAACCTGGCCGAGCACAGTGGCTCACACCTGTAATCCCAGCACTTTGAGAGGCCAAGGTGGGCGGATCACAAGCTCAAGAGATCAAGACCATCCTGGCCAAGCTCAAGAGATCAAGACCATCCTGGCCAACATGGTGAAACCTCGTCTCTACTAAAAGTACAAAACTTAGCTGGGCATAGTGGCACACACCTGTAGTGCCAGCTACTCAGGAGGCTGAGGCAGGAGAATCACTTGAACCTGGGAGGTGGAGGTTACAATGAGCTGAGATCGCACCACTGCACTCCAGCCTGGCACAGAGCCAGAATCGGTCAAAAACAAAAAACAAAAAGACAAAAAAAAACCCCAATTAGCCGGGCGTGGTGGTGCATGCCTGTAATCTCAGCTACTCAGGAACCTGAGGCAGGAGAATCGCTTGAATCTGGGAGGCTGAGGTGGAAATGAGCCAAGACCACACCATTGCCCTCCAGCATGGGTGAAAAGAGTGAGACTCTGTCTCAAAAAAAAAAAAAAAAAAAAGAAAAAAAAGGAAAACTTGCAACTTTGACTGCTACAGAAATTCTATTCAAATAAACATAAATCTCAGAGGCAAAATGTAATAATCAGCATTTTAAATACTTGAAAAATAGCATTTTGAACTAATGAAATTTAAACATGAGAAAATTAATTTCCTTCAGTGAACTGAAGACTTATAGACAATATTTAGGTTCAAAGGCCTTTTCAGATAATGGTGCAATTTTATTTTTCACCATGGTAAAGTCACAGAAATAAAATGATAATGAGTAACATCCTAAGACTAGCACATTGTCAATTTGTTTTCTGAAAATTTATTTCTTCCTTTTAAACTACTTGACATTTCCTACCTACTTTATTTGTAAATTGAAAGTGATATTAAACATTATCTCCAAATCTCAAAACTCCTTTTGGAAAGTTCCAAAATTTTATAAACCTATCCCTTTCTTGCTCTTTTCATTTTTCTCTTTTTCTTTAGCGTGGAAAGCCCAGAAGACTCCTAACTTAGTGACCATGTTTCTTACATCCGGCTATGTCTAAAATGGAACTGGGGTTCATTCTGAGCCAGAGAGTGAGTTCAGACATCCTGTGTGCCCTTAATCCCTGGAATACTGCCACTTGAAATGGTATTTTCAGGGATGACTTCACATTATAGGAAATAGATACTCAACCATGCTTGTCATTTGTCCCAGCACCTAACAGGCAGAATTTCCAAAGGAAAGCAACAACAAAAATACTTGGTAACTCTAAAGTTCTGAAGTTGTCCCAAGAACAAGGGACTATTTACAGGACTTTGATGCTGTTCAAGGTCCTAACTTTATGTTAACTTGCTTTTGTTCTTATAGAAGTACCAGGTGACCAGAAGTCATCTACTTTGTTTGACCTGCAATTTCACGCTACCATCATCACTCTTGAAGATTGCAGTTAATATGTAGTATCAGTAGATAGTATTCAATTTTGAAAAATAGTCTTCTATGCATTATTTCATCTAATAGTCACAATAACCCTGTGAGTTGGTATTATATTACTGGCCCAATATGCTTAGACACTGTGTGTACATTAGAAAGTCAGAGACCCTGAGCAAAAAGCAAAACTAAATCTTCAAACTCTATATCCAATGTTTTCATCCCTAAACCGCATAAAGCCTAAATTAGAAAAGTTGGAACTAAACAAAAGTGGGGTACATAGGAAAAAGTGGAGAGTGAAAGTGATCAAATACAGGACCAGAATGTCTAGTCTTAATTTCACAGGAAGTCTGTACATCAAGAATCTGATGACTGGGTGTGGTGGCTCACGCCTGTAATCCCAGTACTTAGGGAGGCTGAGGTGGGTGGATCACCTGAGGTCAGGAGTTCGAGACCAGCCTGACCAACATGGTGAAACCCTGTCTCTACTAAAGTACAAAAATTAGCTGGGTGTATCACCTGAGGTCAGCAGTTCGAGACCAGCCTGACCAACATGGTGAAACCCTGTCTCTACTAAAATACAAAAATTAGCTGGGTGTGGTAATCCCAGCTACTCGGGAGGCTGAGGCAGGAGAATGGCTTGAACCCAGGAGGTGGAGGTTGCAGTGATCTGAGATTGCGCCATTGCACTCCAGCCTGGGCAATAAAAGCAAAAAAGAAAAAAAAAAAAAAGAATCTGACACTCCCATCATTCTGTTTAGAAAAGCAGGATGATAAGAAGTCCTTCATACCCTCATCTGGCTTTAGAGAGTTGACCACTGGATATGATACATTATGCCCCATATAAAATCAATTTTAATTGATTTTTAATAATTTTAATTGATGGAATTTGAACTATTATGGCTAAAACTACTATGAACATTCATGTAGAAGATGAGTAATTTGCTAAGTGTATGTTTAACTTTAAAAGAAATGTGGTAGCTGTTTTTCAAATTCTTTGTACCATTTTAAATTCCCACCAGCATGTTTAAGATTTCCAGTTGCTTCATGTTCTTGCCATCATTTGATATTATCAACCTTTCTTTTAATTTTAGGTGTTCTAATGGGTGCATGGTGCTATTTCATTGTGGTTTGAATTCACATTTCTCTGATGACTAATGATCTTGGGTATCTATTTATGTACTTTCGGGCCATTCACTAGTGTCATTTACTTGAAAATTTGTATGTACAGAATAATCTCATTTTGGTAAAAAAAAATTATGTATAAAAACATATAGATCTGAAAGGACATACACTAAGAACATTTGATATTTTAATTTTTAGTTTTTTAGTTTTGCTTGTCACCACTTTCTTACTTTTTACAATGAACATATGATACTTTTTTAATAATAAAAGAATTTTTAAAAGGAAATTACTCTTTTTTTTTTTTTTTTTGAGACAAAGTCTCTTTCTATTGCCCAGACTGGAGTGCAATGGCATGACCTGGGCTCACTGCAACCTCTAACTCCCAGGTTCAAGCGATTCTCCTGTCTCAGCCTCCCAAGTAGCTGAGATTACAGGCATGCACCACCACATCCCGCTAATTTTTGTATTTTTAGTAGAGATAGAGTTTCACCATGTTGACCAAGCTAGTCTTGGCACCTGACCTCACGTGATCCACTCACCTTGGCCTCCTAAAGTTCTAGGACTACAGACATGAGCCACCGCGCCCGGCTGGAAATTACTTAAAATAAGAAGTGAAAGGACCCTTCTAGTTTTTCTATCAAAACCTATCCTTAGTGGTAAGTTCTCCTAACATTTTAGTGTATTTTACTATGACTACTTTTAGTAACACACATATTTCAACAAAAATATGACCTTATACTGTTTTTGGCAACTGACTTTTTTTTAATTTAACATATCATAAACATCTCGTGAATGTAGATACATCAAAATGTATTTATTATTTCCTCATTGATGGATACATAGATTGTTTCCATTTTTGTTGTTGCTGCCATCATAAGCAATTACTCAATAATACTTCTGGAATATACTCCTTCAAGAAATCAATATTCAACAAGAATTTATTAAGCACTTGTGCCTGGCTGTGTTCTAGACATTGAGGATACAGGAGTCACCAAAGCAAAGTCTCTGATCTTCAGAGCAGGGTAATGAACCAAACTATTTGCAAGAACAAATTTCCTTAGCGTTTCAAGATGGAAGGAAAGCAGAACAAAGGTTCTTTCATAAATATTTATTTACACTTTACAAACTACAAGAGAAAAACCTTGTCATGTATATAAAAGTAAATACATAATGTAGTAAGTAAAATTCCTAGGAAAAGAGTATCCACATACGCTGCTTTCTGAAAGTATAAGAATGTATCACATACATACCATTGCTCACTGATAGTTTATTAAGAAAGTGTGGGTTATCAATTCAAATTATCATCA
The DNA here is from genome assembly GCF_000001405.40 of Homo sapiens. Classification (NCBI taxonomy): domain Eukaryota; kingdom Metazoa; phylum Chordata; class Mammalia; order Primates; family Hominidae; genus Homo; species Homo sapiens. The sequence goes on from NC_000004.12 coordinate 85,857,487, forward strand.
AGATCAATTATTATGTATTTTTTTGGTTTCCCCCAACCCATTTATTTTTCCTCATAATGCTTTTATTTTCATTTGGAAATTATCTTTATGCAGTTTTGGTGGTAGGGAAATTCCTACTATGTGAGGGTAAGAAAATGTTAGGTTATACCTTTTCTTAAAGAAGCAAAAGATAGTAGATCCTTACTCTCTCAGACTGATAGAGACAGAAAATAGGCGAGTGAATTTATTTTCACTAATTTTGTGCTCTCTTCAATTGTAAGATATACAATATTAAGAGAAATAGTTGGAAGCTACACAACTCAACTGGTTGCAGAGGGGGCAATAGATGCAGGTTAGTGAGCATGGTAGACTGCTTACCATGCCTCTGGGTTCCTGCTTTTTATGTTTATCTAATATTTTTTCTGGCCCTCTGAAGCTCTGAAGGTTTCTATTAATTCTGAGTCCATGATGTATTCTAATAATTCTTCTTTTACTTAAGTTTGTCATTTTTAACCTCTTTTGCTTGTAATTAAGAACTTTAAGTGGAACAAATATTTCTTTTAAACTTTTCTTTAATACCTACCACAAAATAAGTTCTTCGTCACCATAAGACTTGTGAGAAAAAAATGTAGAATAAATACAATGGACATAGGCCTTCTTTCAATTAGTTGTTCATTCATGTAACATTCAATAAATGTTTATTTAATACCAGTTGCATTTGAAGCACTCCACTAAGCTTAGAGGTGTGAGAGAAACAACTCTAACATTTGTGAAACAAACAAAGCAACAGGGAACATAAGCTGATGCTCAGAGCCCCTGACCACATGGTAGATGCTAATGAAGATGCAGTGTTTTATTTGGTTGACATTCTGTTGCTATTTGTTTAAACAATTTTGTTGTACATAGTAGTGTTTTCCATCATTTCATTTTTGGAATTTCTCACTTTTTCAATAATGGGATACTAGTAAATGGTGCCCATAGGTAACGTGATGTATTTGCTCCTTCCCCCATTCACAGCAATAGCATTTGCCTGAAAATGAGTAAATGCTTTGTGCAACTAAGCTGCATCCTGCCAATGGTATTCAATAAATTAAAACATAATGCTCTATGCAAATGTTAAAGAAAACATTATCTGGTATGTTATGGCATTAAATAAAGCATTTAATGCTGGCAAGTTGGCTTTGCCTCTGTAGACAAGATGATTCTAAGAAGCAATGTCTTGTAAGATATGAAATTAACCAAGCTGAGAGGGAAAGGAAAAGGAGTGGATGCATTCCAGGCAGAGGAAGGTGATCTGTACAAACGGTAGTGATAATGTGTCTGGAGGATCTAGGAGTTTCTGAAAGATTTTATTTTACCTGGAGAGATTGAAAAGGTATATCTGGTAGTAATAAAAATAAAAATAAATGAATCTTGAGAGGTGCACAGATGCCAGTGATTGAAGCACCTTTCATATCAACTTCAGTAGTATGGTACTCAGAAAAAAAAAATGCCTGAACCTCAGGTACATATAAAGCAATCTGTATAATCTGTATAATGCACATCCTCCTGCCATTATCTGCTTTTGGGTCTTAGGCAAAGGCCTTTCTCACTTTCACACATTGCTGCAGGTTGTTGATAGTATTAAAACATGGTTTGACCTGGGAAAAGGCCATTAGGGAAAAAATGTGAAGGATGGAGGTTTGACACCCACTTCTGTGCACACACACACATATACACACATACACACATACATAGCCACATGCATACACACACACACACACACACACACACACACAAGATGTGCTTGGGCTGTATGCCTTCCTTGAGAACAGCTTGGTTTCATTCGCTACAGAATCAGTTTCTCAGTCATAAGCTACCAAGACTTAGATGTCCTTTAGGAGTTATTTCATAAACTCTTGATATCAGAACCTTAAATAAATTTACTTAAATAATGTTCACTTATGGAGCAAAGATAGAAAATGGTAACAGAGTAATCTCGGCAGATAAAAATAAAGTCCCAAATGAGTATCAACATATTTTAGTAATAGTCATCAAACGTTTAAATACACAATGAACTTTGCAGACAACTGTTGAAATATTCTCTATAAATAAGCCACATATTTCTTCTCCTCATGATTTTAATGTGATATTTAGGTCTGAGTATCTCTATAAGCCCATGCTAATAGCTACTGTTTTAGTGACAAGTGAAGTTTTAGGGTCCTCACCGCTATCAGATATTTAGGTACATGGACTATTTTTACTAATTTATTCTTCCATCTGGCTGTAGTCTGGAATTTTAACTTCCAGTTTCATTTAAGAGCCTAAGCCTACTAATGAGACAGCCTTTGCAGCAGGTGGGAAGAAACAGAAACAAATGACAGCCTTTCCTTTTGAGCACCCCTAGTTATGTTTCAGTCTCCAGGGTAGTGCTTGTTCTTTACCACTGTCTCACAATGGCTAACCCAAGCTTTAGAGCTTACAATTAAAAAAAAAATTCAAGCATTTTTCCTGATATTAACAGGGCAAAGCTTTCTGATAAGGATTGTGCCCTAAGCAGCCTTAATATTTAATGCTGGTATCATACTGACCTGAGGATGAACAATAAATTATAAAAACATGCAGATGCTCACGTCCAGTGAATCAGAACAATTGATTTTCTTTTTAAACATGTGCTTGCCACGGGAAGTGTATTAATATGGCAGAAACAGGGCCAGGAAGCTTATATTTAGAATGAATTAGGCATGGAAGATGAATTACAGGGTAAGGTACTATTTATGGAGAATATAAAAAGCAAATGTGTAGAGAGATGGGGGAGTCAGGGTGACTTGTTGAAATATGGTGCCCCACGAGGGCTCACTCATATATGAGTCAGAGAATACAATGAAGATGCCAAGAAGGAACTGCAATTTACAGAGATGGTCTCTCCAAAGACCAAATGCTAAATACACATCATATTTTTGTGACATCTCTTCATTACGGTTTAATATTAAACCTATCAGCCCCTTTAGGATCCATATGGCAGAATCACCAGCCTGGTAGTCTGGAAGAACAAGAGGCTTTTACTGCATGTGTCTCTGTGAAACCCAAGGCTAACTTAGAATAGATAACTTCACTTTGAATGCATCAATTACTAAAGGAAAGTAGGCATTAAAAATAACTGAAATTCCTGAGGATGGGACGACCGTGAAATGATGAATGATTAGGAGTGAATTTAATAGTGTACCCCAGGTGCAATACAAAATAATTTGTCCATCACCAGGAGAATGAAGGTGCATTAGAGAAGGCAATTGCTGGCATCCATCTTATCTATTCATTAGTTATTAAAATGATTCATCATAGTCACTTTTCCTACTCATCATATTTTGTGAGCAGGTTGTTTATTAATATTATTAAATCTTTTCTTACTGATATTTTGAATAAAATGCTTTAAGAGGAATGCATTATGTTTAATACTGGCTTTCTCAGATCATTTTAATCAGTATTTAATATCTATCTTCTCCCTTTAGATTTTCTCAGTCCCTTATAAGAACATATATTATTCTGTGCATGCACGCACACACACACACACACACACACACACACTCTTTCAAACATAATCCTCCCACTTCACTAGATTAAATGATTTCCTTTTATACATGGTAAAACCAGGACACAAAAAGGAAAGAATTGCCTATAGCCAGATACTGTTTCAAAAACACATGAACAAAAATGCCAAAATTAAACATGAAACGACTACTAACCTGCCTTGTCATTCAGCTAGCTCTGGCTGGTGATTATATTTTTCCTATCACTGGTTTAGTTTGTGTACTTTTACAATATTTACATTCTGGTGATCACCCTCTTCCATTATAACATGAGCCGGAACAGTGAAAAGATGAAATGCTATGCTGTGTGAACTGCATAAGACATGTTATTGTGCATGTTTCCTTAGTCAAAGCGTACGTTTTGTAGATGTTAATCTTATCCTTCATCATTTCTTATTGCTATGCTGGAACTTCTTTGGCCCAGCAATCTTCAGTTTTGCCCTAATGTCCTCCACTATTGCTTTGTAAATTAGTACCTGTCATTCCAGAGGAAACAAAGCATGAAGCAAGACATACGTGTTGTGCACTGCTTGGGCATGTTGCCAATGTATACAGTTAAGGAGGAAAAGAGGTATAAATGACATGTTCACCTCATTATTCTCCCTTATTTCTTTCCTTGCTATCTCAGGCACCAAATATTTTTGATGTTTTATTTTTATAATGTTACTTTATTATTTTCTTCCTTTATACTCTGTGACCACAATCTCAGCCCAAACATTCATCCATTCACACCACGATTACTGAAGTAATCTCCTGAAAGATCCCCGCATGAGCCTAAGGTTTTCCCTGCTTCCGAACACTATACATGTGCAGTCACAGTTGTTTTAACAATATACTTCTTACACACAACACCTCCCACTCCACATCTTTACTCAGTTGCCCTTGATAATTCCCCAAACTTAAGTCAACACAATCATAAGCTTGAATATAGAAGTTCTCTGAATCTGGCTCTTATTTCTCTAATGTTTTTTCTTTAAGTTGCAGCCAAGTTTATTATTCATTATTCTACAATTAGGTCAACCCATCATTTTAAGTACCTTGGGTGCCTTCCCCCCTTCTCTAATTCTCTAAGTCCTCCTTCTCCTTGAATACTCAGAGTTTCAGCTCTTCCATTAGGGCTGATTAAAGAAAAACTTCAACCAAATTAAATTTAAAGGATTTTAATTAAGCAATGAATGATTCGTGAATCAGGCAGCCCCAGAATCACAGCAGATTCATAGAGACTCCAGCACAGCCATATGGTGGAAGAAGATTTATAGGCAAAAAAAGGGAAATGATGTACAGAAATTGGCAGTGAGGTACAGAAGCAGCTGGATTGGTTACAGGTTGGCGTTTGCCTTATTTGAACACAGTTTGAACACTTAGCAATCTACGAGTGATTGAAGTATGGCTGCTGGGATTGGCTAAGACTCGGTTATTGTTACAGGCACATACTCCTAAGTTAGGTTTTCAAGCTTATCTGACCATTAAGCTAAGCTAAGTTACAATTCATCCACAGGGACTCATATATAGAAGCATGGAGTCCTTCTCAGGCCATATTTAGTTTGCTTTAACAGGGCTCACCCCCTACTCTGAATTCCTGTCCCAGCCTTCTCCCTTGATATGCAGATTCAGATATCCAGCTCATGGTCAGCATCTCAAACTTGACCTGTCCAAAATGCAACTCTATGTGCACTCGCACTACCAGTTCCTTTTGCTTTCTTCCCTGTCTCAGTAAATGGCAACACCATCCAATATTTGATGGGATCTCATATTTTCCTTATTTCTCACGTTTAGTTCATTCATAAGTCCTTTCAATGCTACTCCCCAAATATATTTCACATCTTCCTACTTTTCTTTGTTTATTGCTATTACTATGGCACAAGCCATCAGCACTTGGAGTATCGCAACAGTCTCCTGAAATGTCTCTCTCTCATTCAGACATATTCTCCTCAAAGCTGCCATTAAAACAGGCAAGTAAATAAGCAAACATAAATCAGATCCGGTTCCTCCCCTGCTTGGAGCTGCCTGCGCTCCTCACCATGGCTTATAGAAGTAGCATGACATCTATCTCTAATCTCATCTTGGGCCACTCTCCCTGTGACATATCATTCTAGCCACATTGGCCTTCTGGTGATTCCTACACTACAACACAACAAGGATTTTTTTTAACTTAGGCACCTTCACTCAGAGCTACTTCTCCTTTCCACAGGCCTATTTTTCTTTGCAGGCTAACTCGTTTACTTTCAGGTCCCAGTTTAAAACTCAGAGAAGCCTTTGTTAACCACCCTAAATAATGCAGGCTGCCATGCCATTATTTTCTATCACAGAACCCGATTAATTTCCTTCATAGCACTTACCACAATCCCTAATTATATGTTCATTTATTTAATTACTTGATATTATAATCTTTTTAAAAAAATCATGTCATGAACACTGGAATGTAAGCTCAGTGAAGTCAAAGGCAAGGTCTACTTGTTTATCTTTGTATTTCCAGCACTTAGCATTCTGCCTGGCAGTCACAGCTGCTCAGTGAGGGTTAAATTAATGGGTGCCACTCTTTGGGCACAGATTATCTTCTCCTTAGGGCGATTATTTACCATTGTTGTGAGTTTGTCTTACATTATTTCCCAATACCTAGAAAAGTACCCTACATATACTTCGACAACAGTAACTTTTAGTGTTAATTAAAGGGGAACCTTGAATTGTCAAACTGAATGTGTGCAGTGAGCTTGTGAAGTGGTATAAACCCGGCGTTTGTTGTCACATACCAGGAAAATTTAGAACATGGACACACATGAGGAGTTTAGGAGTGGAGGTTTAATAGGTAGAAGAGAAAGGGAAACAGCTTCCTCAACAAAGGAAGGTGTCTCCAAGCGGAAAAAGACCAGCTAGTGGCAAATGCCCCAAGTTTTATAGTCCAGTCTGAGGAGGCAGTGTCTGATTTAGATAGGACTCATAGATTGGTTCAATCAGGCATGACATTTACATAGAGAAGAGGAGAAGACTGGTCGTCCCATCTTAATCTTCTTATGCAAATGGACTTTCCAGTTGATTGGAGCCATCTTGTCTGCTCCTTACCATACACATGACTGGCAGAGAAGGGAAGATGGAGCTGCCATTTTGAAAATGTCTAGTCCTTGGTTCCTGCCGGCATTCACCAGTGGAAGCTCCCAGCTTTCAGGCTGCTCTTTGTTAGAAAATGATTTAGGGCTGCTTTTCATTAAAAAGAAAAGCCTTACCAAGGACTCCCATGGCCTTGCTGTCTGCCTAAGGAATTCCTTCTTAACTCCTATATCACTTGGGGGCTTGGGGGTACATTTGTTAGGAAATGGCTTATGATTTTTTCGATAATAATCTGAATGGTGGTCAGAAACTTTGAATAAAATTTTAGTATAGCCCTGCCAAAGAAAACAGTACAGTTATGTTAAGAGGATGGAATTAACCATGTAAAATTTGGTACAGATTTATCTTGAATTCCGTATCTTCTAAGAGATCCAGAATTACTCTCCTTTGGTTTGGCAAAGATATCTATCTATACAAAGACCTGATGCCAAACTTATGATAGACAGGCAATTATCTGATGTTGCAGGAAAATCAGTTTTTTTTTTTTTTAAATGAATAGACAAAATATAAGCTTAGGGAGTGGGTGAGGCAGAAAATGTAAATGATAGGATGGGAAGGAAGAAAGCATGTTCAGACCCACTTCCATGAGCTACGCCCATCTGCAATGAGTAAGAGCAGTTAAGTAGTATATATGGAAATACGGACCAGTTAGGGAGAGGGAATTTATGCAGTTTTTGTATTTGTTTGATTTTTCTTTTTTATGTGTTAGATAAATAGAGGATCTCTGGCTGAGGCTTTTCACTAAAATGTCTTAAAAATAAATAAATTATAATACCATCTTGAGAATGTGAATGCATTTGAAATAAATAAACTGTCATTGTGAGAAAATAAGTTCCATATGTCTCATTCATCTCCCTTCTTCATGTGGTGTCATGGCCTTGTAAGCAAAAGGACCTAATTATCATCCAACAGTCGTTAGGAGGCCCTTGCAGATTTCCTGTGACTTAGATGTAGAAATGACTTGATGGAGTTTGCTGGTTCCTCTTGGAGAACATTTTCTTCTGTTGTCTTTTTTGTTGGATGTGTTTCAGAAAAATACCTATTTATCTCTTTGCAATATTGTTCTGCTTCATTTTATAAATAAAAAACTTTTTTAGCTACTTCTTGATTTTCTAGGTTAATGATTATTGTGGCCAAATTAAATCCTAAAATTTTGTGAGTTGGCAGGTAAGGTAAAATCAATTGTTCTTGGCTGGCTAACTCCTTTTCTTTCAGTTCTCAGTTTAAAACTCAGAGAAACCTTTGTTAACCACCCTAAATAATGCAGGCTACCATGCCATTATTTTCTATCACAGAACCCTATTTATTATTAATAATAAATAATAATAAATAATTAGTAGTATAAACAAATAATAAATAATTTAAATAAAAAACAATAAATAATTTTATTATTTATAAATCAAGAATAATTAATTATTATAAAATAATTATATAAATAATAAATAATTTTAATAAAAATAAAATCATGCATTATAATTAGGGAATGTACATTTTATTTGTGTTTTTCAGAATTACAATAAAGTGTAATTTACTTTGGAAGTAAGCATGGAATATTGAAATCAAGCTGTATAAAATAAGAAGAATTATTAATTTCAATTAAGGATTATTTATATTCATAAAGACTTACAGTTGGATTCTTTTATAGAAGGCATCTGTAATATGTTCAAGTATGACACCATTTTTTTAAAGTTAGCTGAATTCTTTATTATTTATATTTATCTACAACGTATTCCCTGTATATAGTTCTACAGATTTTAGGCAATTTATATTGAAAAACAAGACAAAAGAAAAACCAAACAAAGGACAGTTAAAAAGAGCAGAAGAGTGGATTTACTTGCTGGAAATACCTATTTTGCAAACTGTGCTTAATGTTTTCTGAGAATACTAATATTTTTTCTCACTCATTGAATGAGATTGTCTGAGATTCTCACAATGATCCCTTATAGGCTCTATTTAATGGTTCACACTACATTTATCAGATGCAATATTGATTTGAGAAATAAATACATATTTTACATTTAAGTATATAGTGTTGTAGTAGAGACAGAAAATGTAAGTGAGGCACAAAGCTGTTTTATCACTTGTCTAAACATATTCAACCTGTCAGTGACAAAGACAGAGCTACTTTCTTCAGAAACCTAGAATAACTTCTCATGAATCAGAAGTTCGTCTCTAACCGACAGCAAGTTGTGTCTGGAGACTTCTGACTTACAAAAAAATGGAAAAAGAAAAACCTTAAAGGGGCATTTCCTTGGCTTACCCTGCCTGCCAGCAAGCAAAGTCTCTTCATGAGTTTTTGGCATTTTTTTGTTTTGTTTTGTTTCCCCCACATGAACAAGCTCAACTTTCATTCTTACACATTTAGAAAGATTCAGTGCAGAGATCTTTTGCTGCTGGTTGTCAAGTCTATTTTCAAGAGAATAAAAGATTACCATATTTGAATGTTGTTTTTATGCTCAAACCAATGGTTTGAGAAATTCCAGTACTTGCTGAGCTGTTCTGTTCACCTCTCCTGAGGCACTGCTCACCACTCATCCTGTTCTCTGCTCTGGTCGGCAGATCTGTGAGGATCACACCCACACCTCCCTTCCCCTGTGCCTTTTGGTGGATTGGCCATGGAGACATAACCAAGGCATCAGATGGAGGAAAGAGAATTACATCACAGTGTCTGTTCCCAAGACTCCCTCACTATGGTTGGAGGGAAAGGGAAATCAATTCTAGTTGGCTGCATCCTGGAAGATGGTGTGACTTTATAGTGACAAACCCTGGTGGTTTCTTTGCTGCCTGCCCATGCTTTTGTGGAAAGTCTTTTCATTAAACCCTCCATGAGTTATCACAGATTAATTTGCTAGGATTCTAATATATACACAGCATATGAGTGGTTCTGTATGTACTCTATATGAATTTTAGTCAGGAAAACATCCTTAAATCTGGACTTTTCAGCATACTAGACAGGGGTATTTGAACAAATTACTTCACCTTTATTTTTAAAATGGAATCCAGAGCACTTGATTCAGGGGACTACTAACCAGGAGGATTAAATGAAATGATTTATGTTTATGTAAAGCACCTGGCACTTAGCAGCCATTTTAATATTTTTTAAATGTTAATGCTGATTGAAGAGCACTATTTTCTTCTAAATGTCATAGCTATTTATATGTTGGATGTAATCTTTAACATGTGGAAGTGTAATATGGATCTTATTGTCATGGATTCTAGTGCGTTTACACTCAAAGTCAAAAGTAAGAGAACATCAGATTTATTCTCATAAGCCAAATAACTAATGTTGAAAATATTTGGGTTTCCAGTCAGCCAGGGATCAGAGATGGTGACAAACTCTACTTAGTCTGGCAAAAAGCAATAATAAACATATGATTTAAATTTTTTTCTTTTTATTTTTAGCTGGGACATCCTCTTTTTCTCAAAATAGCACAAATTGTTTGGCTTGCTTCATAAAGTAGTCAATGATTCTTTTTTGAGAGGAAAAAAGTGGAAATATAATAGTGCCCAGAAATATCAGCTCCCCTTCTTTTTTGGAATCCTATTTTTATACTCACTTCTCAATTCTCAGTGCTATTAACAGACAATAATAATCTAGATGATAAAAATTCCATATTTAATTCCTTTAAAGGACTTTTAGATCATCTAGATTATTTTTGCCTGATAATTATATATATAAAACTAGTGTATAATTATATGGATAGCTGTATATATATTTATATATAACATATATATATAAACATATATAATGTGTGTGTGTACATATATATATACATATATGTACACACACACAAACCAAAACGTAACTGAGATGGGTCTCAATCAATTTAGAAGTTTGGGTTTCCAAGGTGAAAGATCATGACCTGTGACACAGCCTCAGGAAGTCCTAAGAACATGTGCTCAAAGTGGTTGGGTTGCAGCTTGATTTTATACACTTTAGGGAGACAAAATACATCAATCAATACCTGTGAGGTATACATTAGTTCCGCCTGGAAAGGCAGAACATCTGGAAGCAGGAGTTTCCAGATCATACGTGGATTCATAGATTTTCTGATTGGCAGTCAGTTAAAAGAGTTAAGTTATTGTCTAAAGACCTGAAATCAATAGAAAGGAGTGTCTGGGTTAAGGTAAGGGTTGTGGAAGCCAGTGTTCATATTATGTAGATGAAGTCTCATAGGTGGCCCCCCTAAGAGGCAATAGATGGCACATGTTTTCTATTCAGACCTTTAAAAGGTGCTACACTCTCAGCTAGTTTCTTCAGAATCAGGAAAAGATCTGGCAAGGGAAGAGGATTCTCTACAGAATGCAAATTTCCCCACAAGAGACAGCTTTGCAGGGCCGTTTCTCCCAATAGATGAAGCTGGAACACTTTGAGTAATGAAACAAAGTATTGGCCTATACTCTGAACTATAAAATAAATATTTATGAGTGGATATTATACACTAAATATAATGTGGTATCTCAGATGGGATCCTGGAACAGAAAAGGATTAGGTGAAAACTAAGAAAGTCTGAGTAAAGTCTGTTGAGTATGGACTTTAGTTAATAATAATAATGCTCATGTAATACTCATGTAATGTGTTAATAATAGGGAAAACAGGGTGTAGTTATCTAAGAACTCTCTACACTATCTTTGAAATTTTTCTATAAACCTAAAATTATTCTAAAATAAAAGTTTAAAAAGAAAATCAACCATAATCCCCTCACTTTAAAAGATGTTGTACCTACTCATTTCTAGTCATCTTTCATATGTTGCCAGGTTACCTTCTCTTTTTTCTTTTTAATTAATTAATTTGTATTTTTCATTGATCTATCATAGTTGTATGTATTTTGTATATCATATATCTATCATACTTGTATATCTTTTGATACATGTACAACTATGAGAAATGTCCTTGTTTCAATACCAACTACTTCCTGCTGCCTAAAAATGATTCCTTACCAATGCAATTGGCCCCTCCCAATCTCTTATTTCTTCCGGTGTATCAGTATTACATTTGTCAGAAAATAAGAGAACACTTGCCCATAATGTTGAAAATAATAGAGGGTTTCTATATCTGACGTAACAAGAAGCGCAGATGTAGATTAACAGTGCTTCGGTATTCTAAGATTTTCCTAGTCTTTCCCCCTTGAACAACAAAGGGCTGCTGCGCTCCAGGAGGAAGTGGGAGGTTGGGAATGGTTGTTGATGCATCCAGCCCTCAGTGTCTGTCACTCTAAGAATAACATACTCCTATGCAATTTTTGTCATTCTTGGCAGGGGACTGTGATTTTTGAAGACTTGAATTAGCTCTGACTCTTAGGCATTGTTACAAGATGATGCTTCCAGCATTTGACTGGTGTCTTCTATGATCATCTAACTCTCCCTAAATTACTACAACCCTGTTTGGATGGGGTGGGGGAGGGAGGAACCATTAAGCTGGACAATTCACTGAAAGTTTCGCTATTTTGACACCTACCTGATGAACAGAATAAGGGAGGACAATTTTTTTTCCACACCAAATTGGAGCAAAGGAATAGCTTTCATTTTCCCATAAATTTCCTGAATCATTTTGTTTTTCTTTTATAGATTAACAAAATGATCTTGTTAAAGGCACTGATTATATTGAACATGTGTGTTAACTCTGTTTTCTGAAGCAAAGTTGAGGCATAGATCAGAGAAACAGGAAATTGCGTTAAAGTTCCAGGGCCCCCTGTTTAATTAGAATTCTTCAGAACAGCCCTGGAGGTCAGCTTATTATACATATGGCTTGAAGGTGAGGAGCTTGGGCTATGCATCCACACTGCCTCAATTTGAATCCCTACCCTACCAGTACTGTGACTTTGTGCCTTTGACTAGTGTCTCAACATTTCTGTACCTTAATTTCATCATCTGTAAAATGGGCCTGACAATAATAGTAGCTACCTAAGATATTGTGTGGATTAATTGAGTTAATGCATATAAAGCTTTTTTAAAAACTGCCTGACACATAGACAGCACTTAATAAATTTGAGCTATTATTATCATTAGCAGTTATGTCAGTATATCAGGAGAACAATAAAAGGGCTCTATTTATATTATCATATACTATATATAATTGATATTTTTTCTTTTTTCCTAAACTTAAATGTTGCCAACCAATTGTGTCTAGAAATATGAAAACACCTCCTGTCCTATTGTTAATTCTTTTCACATGTACATGTCTATATTTTCTTTCAAAGATGAAATGTAAGTAGCAGAACTCATTCATTAGATATGGCTGTAAAGCAGATGAACCTCAGTTGTTAATTTTGCTTTCCAGGAAGAAAGGTAAGCTCAGTGTACTCTGCTGACCTTTCATCACTTATCTGCAAAAGCTCTGATTTGTGTATCTGGCTGTGTATGACAGCTTTATGGTACATGTTGTCTCAACATTTATATGAGTTAACCTTTTCAGCATTAAATTCCATTAGTTAGTGGAGGCCCTTCTTTTCTACTAACTCATCTGTTTGGGGTGATACGAACATACGAGTGCTTGGAGATTCAGGTGTTTTTTATGTGGGGATAGTTATCTATAGGTCTTACCTAGTGTTCTGAGTATATATATAAAACCCACTACTGCTGTATAATAATATTTAATTATTGAATGAGGGTTGTAGGTTCCTTTCCTTTGATATTAGGTGTGTACAGAGGGAAGAATGTTCAGAAATATCAAGAAGGGGAGGTTGGGATAGGCAAGGAAAGAATAATACCTCCTTTGTTTTACAAGTGGCAGTGTACTCTGTTTTAGTGTTTACTGTTTCATGACTTTACTTCAAGTTTCCTTGTACCAAATATTACCTCTGAATGGTACAATTGTATTTCTGTTTGCTGACCAGGGTGATGTTGAAATAAGAGGAGAAATTATCAAATAGATATGAGATTAGTCTTGTTATTCCCATTTATTCTCTCTTTTGAATAAAGGTCTCTTAATTCCTGGTGGGGAGAAAGGGAATTGATTTTCTCATCTGTTCTAAGGCATGTGTATAATTCTATTATACAGTCTTAGGGTTTAACCCCTACAATTGTTTTACATTACTCTCTAGGGGTAGGAGGGCTTTAGGTTTTGAAGGACCTAAAGTTAATATAATTTAGGAGTCTTATTTAGGAGAAATAATACAAAATTATGAACAAAAAATCAGCTACTGCTTTAGAATAAAGAAGAATTTCACAACAAATTAATAATTTATGAAAGCTGGCAAATACAAACATCAAAAAGATCCAGAAATATAACAATTTGTTATTTATAAAATGCCCAATACACCTTCTTTTCTACCTTAGTTGATTCCATACTCGTTGATCAACTCTTTCTTTGACAACTGTTTTGTAACATCACTTTCTACAGAAAGAATGAAAAGGTAAATCAGCCTTTCCTTAAACTACATACACATATTCCACGAAACCTAAGCTAAATGTATACCCAATACAACTTCCCCTTATTTGGATACCAAAATGCCACAGCCACTCCTGCTTACCTGACCCAAGGGAAAGTGTGATGGTTGGTAAATTGGAATGGAAAGAGGGTTCTTAATAGACTGTGGCCTAAATGTATGACCACATGAGCACATTGATGTAGCAGAACCTTGGAAGAGGCCCATGCAACTGAGGGGCCTTGAAGCTTAAGCTCCATTTGTTTCATAATTAATTCTCCTCTCAGGGACAAAGCAGTGATGGCACATTGATCCATCCTCCCGCCAACAAAGAAATATATTATATTATCTATGGGTTATATTATCTCTCGAAGACCTCTAGTTATTGGATGACATTAATATGCTAAGATAAGGATAAGAAGAAATGGTTTTCATTTAAAAAGAATAACTATTGCCAATATTTTAAAACACTTATTTGCCTTTAAACTAGAGATTTAACCAAGATCTAGTGTGCACCATATATTAAGTCTCACTTATCAATGTACCCACAGTAAGAACTATAAAAATATTCGTGAATTATTTACTCAAAATTTCAAACAGGCTGAATGCATGTTTGTTTTCATCTAGCAAGTTATATTTTGATTACAGCCTAGTGACCTTGGACTTAGAAAACTTTTTATCTTTCACAAATGCAATTGAATTTCATTAAGTCTTATATCTTATATTTACATTAGGGAGACCAAATCAATCAACGCGTTGATATAGAAATAGAAATCACTGAGTTTTAAAACACTTTATTTTTTTTTTAATGGAGACAAAGTCTCACTCTGTCCCCCAGGCTGGAGTGCAGTGGCATGATCTTGGCTCACTGCAACCTCTGTCTCCCTGATTCAAGCAATTCTCCTGCCTCAGCCTCCCGAGTAACTGGGATTACAGGCGTCCACCACCACGCCCAGCTAACTTTTGTATTTTAGTAGAGACAGGGTTTCACCATGTTGGCCAGGCTGGTCTCAAACTCCTGACCTCAGGTGATCCGTCCACCTCGGCCTCCCAAAGTGCTGGGATTATAGGCATGAGCCACTGCATCTGGCCTTTTTTTTTTTTTTTTTTTTTTGACAGGGTCTCACTCTGTCACAAAGCTTGGAGTACAGTGGCACAATCTCAGCTCATTGCAACCTCTGCCTCCCAGGTTCAAGCAATTCTTACGCCTCAGCCACCCAAATAGCTGGGATTACAAGCATACACCACCATGCCCGGCTAACTTTTGTATTTTTTTTTGTAGAGATGGGGTCTTGCCATGTTGCCCAGGCTGGTCTCGAACTCCTGAGCTCAAAGCAAGCCACCCGCCTCAGCCTCCCTAAGTGCTGGGATTACAAACGTGAACCACTGCACCTAGCAAAACATTTCTTCAACTAAAATGAATCCATTGTAATTGAACTATAAAGAAAAGAATAAATCATTAATGGCTTATTTTGATTGGGAAAGCATCATTAGCCATAAGATTGCTGACACTCTAGACTTCGAAGAAACCTGTCACTGGCATCAGTGTTAGATACAAAAAGGCTGCAGTGTGTGATGGTTAGCTATCCTCAACAGAAAGCCTACTCCTTACTGGCAGCATGAGGGAGTCCAGAATATGGACTTGCAAGTTAGAGCAGATTTCTAATTCTGGCCCAGCTACTTGCTAGCTGTGTTCATGTTGGGTGAATAAAGCAACTTTTTCTAGCTTTAGCTTCCTCTCTGCAAATGGGATTATGTACCTTGTAGGATAGCTGTAATGATAATTCAGAGAAATAAAGTACCTGACTCTCCTTCTGACACATTATGGCCGCTTGATAAATGTAAATTTTCTTAATTTTTTTCTTGCTTTTCTCCCTATTTCCTTTCCAAGTGAGCATGCATCTTTAGTCATAAATCAATTTTTGTCATTCAGCAAATACTGGGAATTATCTACTGTGTAGCAGGGCTTTCGTGCAGTGCAGAGGATTTACAAGGCTGAATAAGACATGGTGCTCCATAGCAGGAGCTCATACGGTAGTAGAGGCAGAACCATCTAGCTAGAGCATAATGTGATAAATGTTGCCATGGGTGTTCAGAATGTTCAGAATGGGCAACCCCGTTCTTGTCTGCTGCATGACTGAGGTCTGTCTAGCTTTTCTTTCCAAGCATCCCATTTCAGGAGACATCATTTCATGCATTTCTATTTCAGTATACCCATCTTATGTTTCTGTTATGTGACCTGTTGAGAGTTCCTCACTTTAATTCTCCACACTGAAGCTGATGTCTGCTTCTATTCTCTGCTCTCCACTCAGGATAATACAGATCAGAGCAGTGGCTTCAAAACATTTTTGATTGTGCTACCTCTGTATGAATAAAATAAAATTTGACCATGCAGTTAATTGTAAATATATTTGCTTATCTACTTTTAATAATATATTTTTCATTATAGAAAAACATAATTTTTAAGATTGGATGATTAAATTAGGCACTTCTGCTGTTACTCTGTGTATGGATTCCTTTTAAAAAATCTGTATCTTACAAAGTGGCCTAATAAAAATATTGAGGCTTAGGTTTTCCCATAGAATAAATTAAAAATCACCCAAAACCTAGAGCAGTTTAAAAACAGAACAAAAACAACGATAACAATCTGTACAAATATTGGAAGCACAGTGAAATCTTAGTGGGCATTGTCACTTAGCATAACCATCAGTCAGTCCTTCGCAGCTTTGAATCTTGGGCTCATACATTCCCCTTTGAGATGGAGGTCTCAAAGAGTACTTGCTTCTAATCGATACCATTTTCATCAAAAGTAAGAGAATCTTATTCCAGGTGTAGACTTCCGAATTAATCCATTGTTTTAAATGAGAGGGGATGTGTCTTTGCAGTTTCTAGAACTGCACTTGCAGCTTAACCTGTTGAAAAGCTGAGCAGTTCTTAAAATTCCTTAATAAGCCACTACTGGAAAAAGGCACTTCTATAGATTTTCAGGTTCATTCTTAAGGTTTTCAAGTATTACTAAGGCTTTCTCTTTGATTGTGAGAAAGCTCATCCCTGACTGCTTCAAAACGTTAGTATTCTGGGGAAAGTCATGTGAATAACTTCTATATCATACTGATATCATTCCCCTGTTTAACGATTACAAGGTGAGGAAGTTCATGCCTAAGAAACATGTAGCAGGAGATATTGTATTTAAAAAAATAATAATTGTATTTGTGAATAATAGAAAAAGCCTTAACTTAAATGGAATATATATTTTATATAATTTATATATAAAATATATTTATATATAATTTATATATAAAATATATTTATATATAATTTATATATAAAATATATTTTTATATAATTTATATATAAATATATTTTTATATAATTTATATATAAATATATTTTATATAATTTATATATAAATATATTTATATATAATTTATATATAATATATTTTTATATAATTTATATATAAATATATTTTTATATAATTTATATATAAATATATATTTATATATAAGTTATATAAAATATTTATATATACTATATTATTTATATATAATATATTTGTTTTATATATTATATTATATATAATATATTTATCTTATATATTATATTATATATAATATATTTATCTTATATATTATATTATATATAATATATTTATCTTATATATTATATTATATATAATATATTTATCTTATATATTATATTATATATAATATATTTATCTTATATATTATATTATATATAATATATTTATCTTATATATTATATTATATATAATATATTTATCTTATATATTATATTATATATAATATATTTATCTTATATATTATATTATATATAATATATTTATCTTATATATTATATTATATATAATATATTTATCTTATATATTATATTATATATAATATATTTATCTTATATATTATATTATATATAATATATTTATCTTATATATTATATTATATATAATATATTTATCTTATATATTATATTATATATAATATATATTATAATATTATATTGTATATAATATATATTATTTATATTTTATATTATATTTTTATATTATATAATATATAATATATATTTTATATTATATTTTTATATTATATATATGTAATGTATATATAATATAAATATATATTTATATTATATATAATATAACATAAAATTTATATATAAATATTAAAAATAATATTTATATATAATTTATATATAAAAATATACATATATATATTTTTGGTTGTGGGGGAGAACAGAATACAGAATATCGCTCTGTTGTCCAGGCTGGAGTGCAGTGGCACAATCTCAGCTCAGTGCAACCTGTGCATCCCGGGTTCAAGCAATTTTCCTGCTTCAGCCTCCCGAGTTAGCTGAGACTACAGGCATGTGCCATCATGCCTAGCTAATTTTTTTATTTTTAGTAGACACAGGGTTTCACTATGTTGGCCAGGCTGGTCTCAAACTTCTGACCTCAGGTGATCCACCGGCCTCAGCCTCCGAAAGTGCTGGGATTACAGGCTTGAGCCACTGCACTCAGCTGGAATAGATATATTTAATACATGGCATTATTTTTCAAAATATTTTATAAAAGCGATTATTTTGGTGACCATTAAAATGGAGATAAGCTATTTCACAAAGGCAGAATATACATGCTGTACAATGTATACACACTCAGGGCAATGTCTATCAACAAAACCAGCCCCTATCCATGTATGTTTCAAATAAGCTTGTTATATTTTCAGTTTTGGCTTACTTCTTGTCAGACCTGATTAGAATGTTTATCTTGTAATTTACCTAATGGGATTCGCTTGTGCTTGAATTGTCAGCATTGTCTTTAATCTTTAGTTTGTTGGAAGGAAACTTGAAGCAATCTGTCCATTTTGTGAGGGCTAGTTTCTTAAAATTGAATGCTATAACCCGTTACCGAGCCAGCTGCCCATAAACTGCAATATATCCAATAAGCTCAAAGCTCAAATACAACTGTAAGATCTCTGCTCTCAATCCCTTTACCTTATGAAACTCCTCCTCTTCCCTCAAGGGTCTCTGTCCTCAGTAAGCAAGACTTGACCATCTGACATATGCACTAAGTTTAGGTGCCAAGGTCAATCACATTTTAAACATTAATAATATTAGATATCTTTCTTATCTTCTATAAAAATAACATAAAATCAAGATATGATATTTTCTTCTAGCACCCATTGGCTTTTAGCCTCTCTGATGGGCACATAAAGACCATGGGCTCTAAATGTGATGGAGCACACGTAACATCAGTGGTACTGACCATCAACCAGCATGTAAGGCCTCCCAATTAATGCTCTTGTTTTACCACTTCATAATAAGCATGGTTTATAGAAGTTCTTCTGGCACTACTTTAAAAAACAGCTGCACGTTTGCAGGTGGTCTGACTGTACCATTATTCACTGGACTTTCCATTTTATTTATAAAAAAAACAGACTGAAGCTGACCTGTTTTTGATATTGACATACTTTTTAAACTACTACATTATCATTAGGTTCAGTTTTCATGTAAATCGTCAGTTATAGATGTTATTTATTTCAGTTAGAGCCATCTCTATCTCTATGTATCTATCTAGTTATCATCTATCTTTTTGTTTTCTTATAATTGTGTTACAAAATGGGGTAGCTCTTTAAAAATGTTTTTAGTCTTTTGTATTCTGTTAGCCTGAGGTAGTTTTTTGTTGTTTTGTTCAATTTTCATTCACATTGTGTATATTTTATTCAATGCAGGGTAGTGTAGGAAAGCAAAAATGAATAATGGGTAGAGTTATTTATTTTGAAACATTACATTGAAATACCAGTTTAAGAATATAATAGCACAAGACTGGATGCAGCAGCTCACTCCTGTAATCACCATACTTTGGGAGGCCCAGGCAAGTGGATTGCTTGGGCCCAGGAATTTGAGACCAGCCTGGGCAACATTGCAAAATCCCATCTCTACAAAAACTACAAAAATTAGCTGGGTGCAGTGACACACACTTGTAGTCCCAGCTACTCAGGAGGCTGAGGTGGGAGGATCTTTTGAGCCCAGGCGTTCAAGGTTGCAGTGAGCCATAATCACACTACTGCACTCCAGCCTGGGCAACAGAGCAAGACATTATCTTAATTAAAAAAAAAAAAAGAAGAAGAATATAATAGCACTTTTCAGCATATCTAAAATACAGTGAATTTAAGTAGAGACAAACTATTCTAAAAGTTTTGTGTTTAATAAAGACCTATGCTAGTATTTCATAAACTGTTTAAGAAAACTTACTAAACTTGCCCAGTCATTCAGAGTTTAATTCATTTATGTTTACTACTTAAAAAAATCTTTGGGTCCATAATTGTGAAACAAGATAATATACAAAATATGCAGTTCTGGGAATTGATAATTACATTATTAATATCAACTTAATGCATACCTCAGGGTTTTATATTCTTTAGTTGATATTAAAATGGTTTAAGAAGTAGACCTACTTTTGTAGTTACTTAAAATGGAACATCAAATACTTTCATAATGAAAGAAATAATACCTTTATCTTCATAATATCTAACTGAATTATTCCTGTATCTAATAAGTCTATTTCAAGTGATTGCAACTACTAAAACAAGCTTATTTTATTCCTTTTAATGTCTAATTATGCATAGATAGGTAGATAGAAAAACAGAGAGTTAGATTAGATAGATTAGTTGATAGATGGTGATGATGGTAGATAGATATGTATATGTGTTTTTGATTATGTAAATTTTTTAAAGATCAATTTGAATTATTGTGAGTTGAGAGTAGAATATAATGCAAGAGAATGTTGTGAATACCCCATAATGAAGATTCCAGCAAAGCTATGTATCCAATTATTTTCAGAAATGTAGCCACTACAGTAGTGCAGTTCACATTTGTGTATACTATGGAATGTCTAGCCAGCCAATTTTTAGTGTTACAATTAATATCAATTTTTATTGGTTCCATCATCTTTTAAGATAGAGAAGAAGAATTCGTTAAGACCCCTGTTGATAAAAAATAATAATTTAGCATTAATTAATAGATGAAAGTCAATCCAAGCTCAAATAACATTTTCAGCCAATCTTGAAGTGACATTAAATTATATATATATAATTCTACATTCATAGCTTTTATATCATATCTTGGAATAAGATACATGGACCTTGACATTTCTGATCTTGCATAATCCATTTGTTTCTGTATAAAAGTCCCCAAAGTACTTGTTATCATAGAGGATCTTGCTATTCTTGAAGCTCCTCCAGTTATGTCCATTAAGAGATTAATAGAACAGCAATTATTAAGTTTGTCTTCTCCCTGCAATATAACATTTATCTTACATTATGATCATTTTCTGCACAACCTTGAATTTTTCTCTTTTGGCCAAGCTTTGTGATTTAAGATGTCACCTTTGTGAAAGCTTTGAAGGAATTGTATAAAAAGTGGAATGAAAAATTGACACGGGAGTCAATCTCCACTGAGCAATTCAACCAAGTACACTACAAAACATTTCAATGACTGTGGAAATGTTACAAACGATGGCTGCTGAAGAAGGGAGTTGAAATTTTGTTTTGAGAATGAACATCAAGAAATAGAAGACTTGTATATATTTCACAGGAACATACTATATGAATTAATCCAGAAAGTGTTTTTTGGCTTTTTTTGCATGAAATTTCAACATCATGATCTTGTTCTATGCAGTTGTAGTGAGCAAAATTGTGTTCCATGAACATATCAGTTATATTACATGAATAATGGAAATCACTCTGGTGATTTTTTCCATTAAATACAAGGTGAGACGGTTCATTTCTGTACGACACGTTAAGCATCTTTATATATCCTGGAGATGTACTCTGATCACCATCTCGCTACTCTGTGTAAATGTAAAAAGTGATAATGACTTAGAAAAACTGTTACTTTACAGATCAAATTAGATGAATTATGCTTTTTTATCTTGTGAATCTGAATCATGCAAAATAAAATATTTTCAAATATAAATATTAATTATGATTGTAATAGCAATTTTTAAAATGACATAAAACAGTATTTGTGCTAAGGATATTAACCAAAATTGCAGAAGATCATAAATAATTAAATAATTTGTTAAGACAGCAAGTTTATGCACTAGTCCTCCCTTCTCTGTGGAGGATACCTTTTAAACCCCCAGAAACTGCATTTAATACATATTAAATGTATTTAATTAATTATGTAATTTAATTAAATTATATGTATTTAATTAAATGTATTTAATTAACTAAATGTATTTAAACTGCATTTAATACATATTAGTGGTCCTCAGCCTTTTTGGCACCAGGGACCAGTGCCTTGAATGGAAGACAGTTTTTTCATAGATTGCAGGGAGAGGCGGGGAGGGATGTGGAACGGCTTCCGAGGCATTAGATTCTCATAAGGAGCAGGCAACCTGGATTCCTCCCATGCGCAGTTCACAATAGGGTTTACACTCCTATGAGAATCTAATGCTGTGGTAATGCTCGCTGGCCTGCTGTGCAGTCTGGTTCCTAACAGGCCATGGATCAGTACCAGGAGGTTGGATGAGGACCCTCAATATATATACTGTTTTTTCCTATACATGCATACCTATGATAGAGTTTCATTTCTAAATTAGGCACAGTAGCAGATTAACAATAAGTGATAATAAAATAGAACAATTATAACAATATACTGTAATAAAAGTTATGTGAATGTGATCTCTCTTTTAAAATATCTTATTGTACTGTATTCACTCTTATGATGTAAGATGATACAATGCCTACATGTTAAGATGAAGTGAGGTGAATGGCACAGGCATTACAACATAGCTTTAGGCTACTATTGACCTTCTATATTCCTGAGTCTGTGTAACCATCCCTTACTTGCAGTAAGCATCTGGGTGTCACTTGTTTCAGGGGATCCCTTGCTGGTATCTTCCTATGGGCTCAAAGCTTTCTGGTTGCAGTGTTCCACCCACACATTTAATGGCTTTTCCGCCTTAACTAAGCATTTATCATGAATGCATAACTTTTGTGTGTGTGTGTGTGTGTGTGTGTGTGTGACGGAGTCTCGCTCTGTCGCCCAGGCTGGAGTGCAGTGGCACGACCTCTGCTCACTGCAAGCTCCGCCTCCCGGGTTCACGCCATTCTCCTGCCTCAGCCTCCGGAGTAGCTGGGACCGCAGGCGCCCAACATCACGCCCGGCTAATTTTTTGTATTTTTTAGTAGAGACGGGGTTTCACCGTCTTAGCCAGGATGGTCTCGATCTCCTGACCTCGTGATCCGCCCGCCTCGGCCTCCCAAAGTGCTGCGATTACAGGAATGCATAACTTTTTAATGTGGCCTTAACCTTTGCAGTTTGAGGTACAATGCAAAACTAGTGCAGACTTCTTTTTCCTTCTTCACAAATTCACAGGTGGAAGACTCATTCTTACTGTAGATGTTAGCAACCTCCGCACACCTTTTATTTTCTTTCCTTACTAAGTCATGAGTGTTCACGTATTCACCTAAAGATTTATGGCTTCTTTTTGGCATATCCGAATTGCCACCATCACTACTCTTGCAGTTTGGGGCCATTATTAAGTAAAATAAGGGTTACTTGAACACAGGCACTGTGATACCGCAACAATCTATCTGCTAACCAAGATGCCTACTAAGTGACAGACAGGCAGGTAGTGTATACAGCATGGATACACTGGACAAAAGGATGAGTCCATGACTCCATGACTACACCATGGGTGGGATGGAGCAAGACAGCACGATTTCATCATGCTACTTAGAACCGTGGCAATTTAAAACTGATGAATTATTTACTTGTGAAATTTTTCTTTTAATATTTTCATACCATGGTGGATAAAAGGGGACTACTGTATGTGTGTAATTTATTTTATATTCATTAACGTTGCCAAGATGTATATTCATTATTTTTTAAAAAGATACGGTTGAGGAAGAATAGATTGTACAGGGTTTTGTGTTTTTTTTTTAATTTTTTAACATGATTTAATCTAATCTGGAGTAAATTTCCGTTCATCTCTTCAAGTCCACATCATTTCACAGACGGTGATTTCAAAGAATTGTAAATTTGGTCAGTTCTAACTCTGCAAGTTAGCGATGCTTGTCATGCTTTCAAATTGTGAAGCATATTTTTGTTATCTGGGGAAACCAACCCACAGAGCTGGATGTCCTAAGCACGCTGAGATTCTCTGCACCTCCAGATTCCAGTTTTCTACTGGAAACGCTCCCCTCAGGTTTGTGACACAGATAATACACATAGGAACCAACATTTGCTGCAGCTCCTGTTCCCTTTGGTCCCTGCTCTAGGGGATTTTACATTTTAGTGAAGAGAACAGAAAATTAATTATTGTTTAATGACAGTGCTATGAATAAAATAAATCGGATATTATTTATAGGGAATAATAAACATGGGCAATGGCTTCTAGTAACTCATCCAATAATGTTATATATGTTTATTGAATTTTTATATTCCGTAGTCATATTGATCATTTAGTAAAGGAAAATGTCCAAAGAAACCTTTTAAATATTGAAATTTGGAATTTGATGGGGGAAATAAAAATCAGAAGATCCAATTTCAGGGATTGTATTCAATGAAGTTCTTAGTTAAGAATTCTTACTAGATTGTCTTTCCAACTCTATGGTTGGGTTAAAATAAAGAAGCCATAGGCTTCAGAACTAGATATATTTGAGTTCCAAATCTGTGTCTATTACATGTTAGGTATGTGAACTTGGGGAAAACATTAAGTTTATTGATTCTCAGTTTCCTCTTCTTTAAAATTTGCAGATATTATCAGTATCATATGTTTATGAGGAGAATTAGATGACATAACATATGCAAAGTTTTTGTCTCTAGTGGGTACTTAATCAATGGTATTTTTCTTCCTTTTTCCATTCTATGACTCTAGAATGGAAAAAGTTCATTCTAGAACCCCCTGATAATTAAGATGATATCATTAGAAATTAGGAAATCTGACTTCCGGCTCTGCTATTAGCTTGTTCCAGGAACTTGGCCAGTTCATTAAACCCTTTTTGTTCCCTAGTTTTTGATTTACAAAATGAGGAGCATGGGCACAATAAGCTTTGTGGTTCCTCTATATTCTATTTTGTATTCTAGTTGATGAACAGCTTAGAGAATCCATCAAGGTCCATGGTCCACGTGGCCAAGAGATTCAAGAAGCATTTAGCAAAGGTTTTCCAAAGGAGAATAGAGAGGTTCTCATAGGTGGCCAGAATGCAGCAACAGAGAACATAAAGGGACAATGCTGGTGTCAATGTATAACTATCTAAACCCCAGTGATTTGACTGAGATTTTAGAGTAAAACTAGAGTCACTAACAAGAACCAAACAGGACCTAAAACAGAATTTGCCCAGAGCAGATTAGAGATGATAGTGTTGGGCAGGACACAACTTGGCACTGCTTAGTTCTCAATTTACTACACTGGAGCTACCATCTGGGAAAGGAAGAAAGAACTTGCTGGACTGACCGAGACTGTGGAAGAAAGGCATTGAGAATATTTAAATGGTCCCTATCCTGTGTTTCAGTGGTGTGGGTCAAGCAAATCAGCAGGGATACTTCTGGGGAACAATGGGATTTAAAACAAGGCAGGGAGGAGAACTGTCACCTCTCCTCTTCCAAGGTTACCAGCAAGTAGGAAGGCTGGCAGAAGTTCGCATATAATGAAGAATTTGGAAAGGATCACTAGAAATTTGCAAGAAGAGGAACTTCAAAAGATGGAAGGGACACCTGGTTGAAAGGGCTTGTGATCAGGGTTTGTAGAGATAGGGAGAATGTTAATAGGTTTTTGTGGTTTTTAACCATGGCTAAATATTTGAATCAACTGAATCACTTGGGTTGCTTGTAAAATATTTTATGGAATGGTTCCTCTCCTTTCTTGATGATTCTAGTGTGCGGCTTAGGCTGAAAATGCACTATGATAAGAGACTGTTCCAACTAGTAGGAATGCCAGGAGGAAAGACCCAATGGCAATGAACAGACTTATTTAGGGACCAGAGAGTCATCCAGTTCTGCATGTGCAGGGGGTAGAGTACATGTGCTGGGAGGTTACACTGGGGGAAGGAAAATAATACATCATTACATAAACAAAGAGGGCCAATGGCAAAGCCTTGACAAACTAGCTAAACTAGGAGAAAATGAAAAACCCAAGACAGTATAGGGTCTAGGAGCCAAGGATGGTGAGAGTTTCTGGAGAAATGATATGGTTACATAGTGAAATATCCAAACACACAGACAGATGTTAGCAGAACGTAACACAAATTATGAAGCCATACAAACTTTATTTTTTCTTTCATTTGGGTCTTATATGATTATCAAGCAGAGTATAGCTGCTTGTTCTAGTTTCCTTGCATGTTGACCTATAATTTTTCATGCATGTTTAAGGAAAAGCACACTGGTCCTCAATTTCTTTATCTATAAAGTAGAGATTTAAACCAAGAACAACAACAAAAAAATCATCCACTTAAAACTCCCATAATGTTTTGAGGGCAAGTGTGTGAAAGCTCTCTATATAGAATCTGGTCTCACAAAAAGTAAAAAGCTTTTAAATTTTGTGCAGGAATATGTAGTTAAATTGTAATTGATGATAACACAAAACTTATTGCCCATTTCATTAAATTAACACTCTCAACTGCTCCAATCATTAGTTAGTGAATTGGCAATTCCAGTTTATTTTATAGAACCTATTTTTTCAAAGAATTTTTGCTCTAAGGTTCTCCAACAAATCTCTTTTAGGCACTATGTGATCTTAGAAGATTCCAGTCCACTTAAACAAGATGCTGAAAAGTTAATGAGGGGAAGAAACTTTTTGCCTTCTTTGACTTTAAAGACCAATGGGACAGTAAACCACTTCAAAGCCTGTCTTTTAATCTTCTCATTGTCGAGCCCTTTGTTGTGAGGGGACAAGGGGGTGTGATTTTTATCCCTGTAATCAGTTTCTGTCAAGACTAGCTTTCTAAACATTTGTTAAGGGGGAGTTACAGAGGTATTATGCGTGGTCACTGGTCTCTCACCCTTAGCTGATGAAGGAAGAGGTGAGTGTGAAGACAACAAGCCTCCATTCTGGGTTAGCTTTCCTCTGGGGGTCTATAAACTAATCTCCATGCAACCCCTATCCCACTTCCTACAAACACTCCTGTAATAAAGGAAGATTGAATCGGAAACTATCAAGTTGTGGAATGTTTGACTTTCTTCTAGAAAATATGGAAGGTAAATTCATTGATTTTTTTTCTCCTAGAAATATTTGGCAGCTTTGATAAAGAAATCTTGGGGTTGGAGTTGAGAGTGTTGAGTACAGAAATTGTTGCATCAACTAAAATTGTTATTTTAAAGTTTTATTATTTCAATTTACTGTCTGATCTGCTTCATCTACAAATTATAGGTATAAACATAATCTCTAAAATGTGCCACCTTTTACACAGTTATATATGGTAAAAATGGGTTTGGAAAATTTTTAATGATGTAGGTCTTTTATGTCTGTCAAGAAATACAAAGAAACTGCAAGAGTGGTCTGAAGTTACCACGTAGAAGGAAATATGGAAAAAAGTTTTCTTATTGAAGGCATACATCCTTTCTTCAGTGTTTAGATTTATTCATTATTAGCCAACGTATTTTAGGAGGGCATTTTAGGATTTAGTTTCTTTTTGGTACATATTAGATTCATTACGCTTCCTTTATGTAAAGTTTAATATTTACATATGTGGTCTTGATTATAGTATTTTGAGTGCTATATAACTCCCCTAGCCTTTTAGTTTTGTAATCCACATAGACAGCCTAATTTAGGCTTATATTTGCTTCTGGAAACTTGGTGTCTATTATAGGTTTTAAAATATATGTTTTTTAATTGTGCTTTTCAACTAAGGGCCAGTTTTACAAATTCTAATTCATAGTACATTATCTATAGAAACTCACGAATACCTATTAGCTGTTACCCAGTTTGGGGGTTTTATTAATTATCTCAGATAATAAAATTAGGTATTTTTAGAATCTTCAAGGTCGTCTTTTTGAAAGGTTATTAAGTGTCTCTGAAAGTTAAAAATTTGAAGTATAACAAAACCATTCTTGGATCATAGACTATATGTCTTAGACTTAAAATAATAATACCATGAACTTTTAATACTTATTTATATCTTTTAAAATTATTCCTAGTAAATTGGGAAAATAGTAGTTCTTGGAGTCCCATCTATTTCCAAATATTTGATAATGGCTCATGTGTTAAATGACATGGCAAACTAAAATGGTATGTTGTTATGGCTAGTAGAATGGTCATTTAACATCTGAGCTTTTTAATTTAATTGTTTAAAGCTAGAGTTAGATGTGGTAGATTATGTTGGTTGATACTTTATTTATTATCTTTTATAACTATGAGAGCAAAATTTTGGATTAGTTATGCACTTCCTAGAATAGGAATCCCGCACAGAGAAATTTGAAATGCAGTGTCATCATCAATTTCCTTGTTGCACCTGTCCAATGAAGATAACTATTAATTAAAGTCACAACATTGCTATTCTAATGCCATAAAGAATTTTGAAACATCTCATGAAATTTCAAAATACCTTGAAGAGATTGTATCCAGATTTATCTTTAATTTGGAAATGACTGAACTCAAAAGTAATTCATTATCTGAGGGCCCAAGATAATCTTTAACAAACCATGTGTTTAGCAAAAGTTTAATGATTGTCAATGACCATTATCTGACAACATAATTTATTTACTGTAATATGATAAACTTCGCAGGACAATTATATAATCATACAACAACGTTACCATGTGAAATACAAAATGTGAGTTGGGTTACTTACCTGATTTAAGTGCAACAGTAAGCTGCCCCATGGGTAGAGTATACTTTTCATTTTCAGTTATCACCCTGCCTCCAGATTAACATTCTCATGTCATGTAAAGGTGAGCACTTAATAGATGAAGAATTAGTGCACCAGAAGGTGGTCCTGAAAGTACTAAGCCTTATCATCATAGACCAGGCTTGTGTGTTGCTTATGGAATCACCACTAAAATAAACACTTGAGTTGAGGCCACCCAAACTTACGGAGAGAAAGGGAATGATAGTCATTTAGTGTTTATTTTCTAAATGGCACTTTAAAACCGATACATATCCCTAGAGCTTTGAAAGTATTAACTGAATAGCTTTTTTGCTTTCAAATAAGTGAATACATTAAACAATGAAATGATGTCATAAAGCATCTAAAATAATGATGCTAGATCATATCCATTTCCCCCTAAGATTTTCAAATAAAATAGTTTAAATTAACCCCTATACTCCACACTGATATGAAAATAATAGCTCATTTATGTTTTGATACAAGAGAATGTTTAAACAAGGATGACTCACATGGGCAATGTATTTGTTCTATGCATAGAATTTCTTGTTGGTCATTACAGAGACAATAAGAGATTTTATTATATATAAGCTGTTCAGCTTTTCTCTTGCCTTGATCTCATTATCAATCAGATAATGATTGCATTGACTAGCTTTGGTACCATTTTTAAGAGATTTACCTAAATAGTTACGATATGGCAAATGTAATTTTTGAAGTAACAAGAGCATACTCTGGTACCAATATTCAAGAAATATTTGTATCATCTATATGTATGAAAAGGACTAGAAGAAGACAAAAGAGTAAAAACTGGTGTATTTACTGTCATGATGATTATTTAATAATTGTTTTTCATTAATATTGCCAAAGGTTTATGTAAGACATCATAATTTTAAAAGGAATCCTCTAACATTTAATTAAAAGATTCTTTGCTGATTAGAGTATTAAAATATATAATCCAAAGCCCTCAAAAGTTTCTTCTCATCCAAGGTTAATTAATTATATTTAAAATATGTCTATTAAGAATTATTAATCAAAGGAGAGGTATACCAAATTTTGATAAAGTTTAATGACATCAAATGAAAATCTATCCTTAAAATAGTGGGTAAAAGAGTAAGAGACTGAGAAAGAGATGGAACAAATATCTTCCTGCTCTATGGATTGGGAGACTGTCTCCAGAAACACCAGGACATAACAATATAGCCTATGCCTATATGCTTACAGTTGTAAATATTTTACAACACTAAAACATGTAAAACATTAAGAACCTTTTAGAAAAAGACGCTAAATTACTGTAACATAAAAACGTTTCTCCATGGAAGTTTCTCCTTTTACCTCTGTCATTACCTCTGTTATTTCAAGTTCCCAAAGCTGATGCTTAGGTGAATTTTGATCTGAAATACTAAAGAATCTAAAGATGCTCTGTTCTTATGTACTTATGTCATGTACCTATGACAAGTGAGGTCATAGGTAAGATACCTTTATCAAAATGTTTTTGTAATTGTTTACCTTTTTTCCCTGATTGGCTATATTTTATCAAAAAGAAGTAGAAAACAAAATATTTCTTACCATTTATGTTGTTGACAAATATCAAAGCTGGCATTTTCTGAAGAGAGAACATCCTGGGTCATATATAAATCAATGTTTTCCCTGGATTACATATGACTAGGAAAAATAAATCAATCTTACCTATGACCTCAGAAATTCAAATGAGGCCTCATTTGAATTTCTTTGTCATGTTTTGGTAACTCTCGATTTAAGAAAATTCTATCTGTGCTGGGCGTGGTGGCTTACGCCTGTAATCCCAGCATTTTGGGAGGCCAAGGCAGGTGGATCACGAGGTCAGGAGTTTGAGACCAGCCTGGGCAACATGGTGAAACCCCATTTCTACTAAAAATACAAAAATTAGCCGGACGTGGTGGCGCACACTTGTAATCCGGCTACTTGGGAGGCTGATACAGGAAAATCGCTTGAATCCGGGAGGCAGAGGTTGCAGTGAGCCAAGATCACACCACTGCACTCCAGCCTGGGCAACAGAGCAAGACTTCCTCTCAAGAAAAAAAAAAAAAAAAGAAAGAAAGAAAATTCTATCTGTACAGGAGTGATGTTTATAAGCTTCAGATGCATTTTTGTAGCATTGAGTTCATTGCTCTGAGCAGCAATTATTATATTAGTCAAAAAAGTTTAAACTCTGTTTGTTTGTTTGTTTTTAAATACTGAGGTATCTTTTTTTATTTACACCATCTTGGACACCAAATTGTTTTTCTTTTTTTTAAAAAAAACTTTAGTTTTAAGTTCAGGGTTACATGTGCAGGTTTGTTAACATAGGTAAACTTGTGTCATGGGGGGTTGTTGTACAGATTACTTCATCAGCCAGTTATTAAGCCTAGTACCCACTGCTTTTTTGTCCTGATCCTCTCCCTCCTCCTACCCTCCACCCTCCAATAGACCCCAGTGTGTGTTGTTCCACTCTACGTGTCCATGTGTTCTCATTATTTAGCTCCCACTTATAAATAAGAACATCTGGTATTTGGTTTTCTGTTCTCATGTTAGTTTGCTAAGGATAATGGCCTCCAGCTCCATTCATGTCCCTGCAAAGGACATGATCTTTTTCTTTTTTATGGCTGCATAGTTTTCCATAGGGTATATGTATCACATTTTCTTTATCTAGTCTATTATTTGATGGGCATTTAGCTTGATTCCATGTATTTGCTATTCTGTATAGTGTTGCAGTAAACATACACATGCATGTGTCTTTATAAAAGAATGATTTAAACTTATTGGGTATTTGTTTCAAGAGAATGAATATCCCACACCATTTACCTAAGAAAATGCCAGATTTTAAATTAAACTAAGTGTAAATTCTATATGGACATGGGGTAAGTATAACAGGAACTTAACTTCCCATTCCTGCTGAGAAAATGTTTACATTGGTAATGTCCGGCAAGATAGAGAGAGAGGCAGAATTCCTTATTTACTACATGTGTCACCTGTTAGTAAATGCAGACAAATTGTAAATTTATAAACTATCCTAATAAGTGAAATTGTAATTAATATTTACAGATTAAATAACATATTTAGGGAGAAGTCTCAATAAACATGAGCTGTTATTATTTCCTTTTTAGTGTAAGACCTCATGGAATTAAAGCAGAAGTGAAACACCTTTTATTCTGTAGTCTATGAGGCTTAGTTTCGTATATTAGTATACAAGGCGATTTTATATTTGAAATGTCAGAAAACTTTCATATTCATACATCTTCTTTCCACGACTATTTAGCTGCTTGTTTACTAATGTGTACAGAGCAAAATGGATGGAATGCCAGGGGAGAACTCCAACTATCTCACTGGTTAAAGTTCCAAACATTAATTCTCCTGAAATTCACACAGCAACTGAAATGGCCTCTTCTATAAATAATGCCCTGCTTCCTGGTACTTCTATCATTTACAGCTGATAGTAGCAAGAGCAATCACAGCACATTATTTCTTAATCCCCCCTAAACGCCTTATCTATACATAAATCCTCTGAGTCCTGGAAGAATCTTTTATTGACCCTCCAAGACTTTTATTGCCATCTCTTTCTTTTTTTAATTGCCTCTTTTTCCTCCTCCTCCTTCTATACCTAAATCCATGATCTGAAAAAGGAGTTACAATTTTCATTTTTTAGGTAATGATGTATATATAGTTTCCTTCCCATCATGCTGTCAGGGTTGTAGGAAAGCAAAGATTCCCTGTTTTGAAAAGTCAACCTGAGAAAATGAATCACTGGACCGATGAAAGGTCTGTTGAGGACAATCAGCGCCTTTCCTCTTAGCTATCAGTTAACAATGACACCTAGTCCTTAGCATTTACTCAGTATAGAATAAAGATCGTTAACTATTTTATTACTAATACTTTCATCCCTGTAGACTTCCCAGCCCCCTGACTTTCTGTTCACTCTTCTCTT
The DNA here is from genome assembly GCF_000001405.40 of Homo sapiens. Classification (NCBI taxonomy): domain Eukaryota; kingdom Metazoa; phylum Chordata; class Mammalia; order Primates; family Hominidae; genus Homo; species Homo sapiens. The sequence goes on from NC_000004.12 coordinate 85,890,290, forward strand.
TATCTCTCTCTTCTTCCTTTTATCTTGGTCATCACACAAACCCTTACTGAGTTCCTATTGTGGCAGAATTTTTGCTAGTGGCTCAGGATACAAGGATGACTGCATCATTTTAAGAAACTAACAGCCTGGTAGGAGAGATAGTTAAGCAAAGAATCATAATACTCTGTGAATATGGGTGGTGATGGAAGCGTGAACAAACATAACCACAGAGGGAAAAATCAATTCAGCCTGGCTAGTATCTTGAGGAAAACACCACAGAAAGTGAAAATCTCAACCTCAGTCTTTAAGTTTGAATAGAAATTTTACAAGGAAATAAAGAGGTGCAGGAGGGAACGTGGAAGTAAAATCACGTTCAGGTAGTGGCAGCTAGAATAGCCTATCTAGAAAATCAGGGTGAGAAGATGAGGTTGGCTTTGATAATGGGACTGGAAATGTGTTAGAAGCTAGACTGTTAAGGGCTTTGCACACCACTGCAACTGGGGACCTTATCCTCTCTGAGGATGAATTGTTTTGAAAGATTTTTAAGCAGAAAAGTTATTAAATTTAATCTATGACAATAGCACATAAAATCCATTAAGGTGGGGACCTTGTTTCATTCACTTCTAAAGCCCTAAAACAGAGTGGGCACCAACAAGTGTTCATTTAACAAGTGTCTGCAAGTCTAGGGATCGCCTAAAATCAATGTAACAGTGAGATTGCGATGGATGATATTAGAGACGGGGTAACCATGAAAAGGTGGCTGTAGTGATCAGGGTGAGAGATAATGATAACCTGAAGCAGGCAGTGGA